>NC_000007.14:143406779-143650804 GCF_000001405.40 Homo sapiens | reverse complement strand
GAATTCCATTTGTTGACAGAACTCTTCAACTAAAGCCAGGCTCCAGCCAAAGAAAACATGAAGAAGAAAACGTCAAACTCTTGGCACTGGTAAACTTTACTTTAGTGCAGGGCTTATACACCCTGAAAATTATGTCCAAGATCCTCCTGGCACTGTTTCCAAAATTCTGAACCATGACTACACTGCTGTTTGCGAATAATATCATCACATTCGTGACTCTTAATCGCCACGGAGGCCTGTCCAGCCCGAATCTTTTCTCAGCTGGTTTTCACTTTACCGGGAGACTATGCGCAGAAAAAGAATGAGAAGGAGAAGGAACTCTAAGTCCTGAAAGCTCAGTCCCAGGAAAAGTTGAGAGGGACTTCTAGATTGGAAATTGTGTTGATCATGGCTGTACAATATAATAGGTGATATTGGTGTGGTGCTTTAAGATTAACAAAATGTTTTCATGAATAGATCTCATTTAAAATCTCAAAACAATCTGCCAATTAGACACAGTGGGTATTAATATTCCTATATTTTAGTCATGTGATCTAGGTGAGGTAAATTCTTTCTGAAAGTATACATAGCCAAAAAAAAGCTGCCCAAATGAGTACCATTCAACCCTCCCCATTACCTTTAGCATAAGAGTTGTGTAGGGACTGACATAATTGTTTGTTATCAATAGGGGAAGTCACTCTACTATATCATAGAATCCTTATCCATGTAAATATTCTACAATGCTGTACATGTGCGAAGTGGGAGATAGGCAGAACACAAGCCTGTGGTTTGCTCAGCGGAAAAATGGGGACCACAGACTCTCCCAGGGTCTCTGTTTCTGGTTTTGTCTCATGTTTCCAAACTCAAGCACCTTGGAGCACCTGTAGTCCCAGCTTCTCGGGAGGCTGAGGCAGTAGAATTGCTTGAACCCGGTAGGTGGAGGTTGCAGTGAGCTGAGATTGTGCCACTGCACTCTAGCCTGGCGACAGAGCGAAACTCCATCTCATCTTTCATGAACTGTTTGAGAATATACTTTAAAAATATTTTCTGTTTTTTGCTTTTCTGTTTATCCTTAGAAATTACTCATATATTCTGAATTCTAATTTTGTATCTGTTCAGTCTGTTACAAATATTTGTCTCTCAGTGACCTCACCTTCTTTAACTTTATTTATGCTGCCTTTATGCTAAGAAGTTGTTGGTTTTTTTCTTTAATTCTATGTGGTTCTTGCAGCTTTTGTCAACCATTCTAGTCACTTCCTAGATTCCCAATGCTACTGTAGTTTGTGTGTGTGGGCATGTGGATGAATATATGCAGTCATTTTAATTAGCTGTGGAGAGGATATCTGCAAGTAACTGCAGCTTTCCATATTGAAGTTTTACTACCATTAGCTGAGGCTTTGTCAGGTGCCTGTGAGAAGATGCTAAGAACACTTCGAGTGGAATTTTTTATTATTAAGTCTTGTAGCTCAATGTCATTAACTCCCCAAAATATCTTGAGTTCCAACAGGTAACAAAAAGCCACAGGCAGAACTGATACCTGAACTCTATGACATTTGCCATGTGAGTCTGAAAATGGGATGACAAAACTAAGACATGCCATCTCCTCATTTTCATGCTGAAAAGAAATTAAAGAGAATCTGCACAAGAGTTACATTTTTCAATAATGTTTTACTACTGGAATAAATAAACTATACTTTTTAAAAAATATAACATTTAATTTTTAATTATAAGAGAAATAGATGTTAATTTTAAAATTCGAGAGAATAAAGTTTTATAAAGATAATTAAAATGACCTAAAATCCCACCAGCCAAGACGACCACTGAAGACATTTTTTTTAAACAAAGATATTTTGATAAATATGCTTTAGGTTCTGCTTCTATGTCTGGTTTCATGGTTTTTTATTTTTTTTACCCCAAAATTTGGCTTATTTAGAGCATGGTATCCTGGAATCTAATTTTAAAACTTTTTCCATTAAGCATTTTTCAAGTTACCTAATAATTATTTTAATCACTATATGGTTTGCAATCTATTGTTAACCATAATTTATTTAACCAACCTCCTATTGCTTGACATTTACAGTATATACAAATTGTTTTAAAAAAATTCTTGAAATACAAAGCCTTTTCTTGATTCATTACATTTTGACCATTCCTTAAGAAGAAGAAGTGAATACTCTAACCAGATCTAAGTGAAGTTTTAAAAACAGTGTGTGTTTGTATAAATCTTCAAGCGTAGTGTTATACAATTTAATTGTGATGTGTTCCTAGATCAGAACTACCCTACGGAGAGTCCAGATTTGGTGTTTTTACAGCCTTCCTTTGCAGAAAGTTAGATCGAGAAATTCATAAGCAGTACTACTTTCTCTGGGCATAATAAACTAGTTTTTCTAACTTGTTTATATGTTTAATTATTTTAAAAGTCAAGAAACTGAAGCCTAAATATTCAACACATAGTTGACTAAATGGGAGGAATTCCTGGAGGTGTTCATTTAGAAAATGTGGATTTTAAGATATGCAAGTAAGGGCACTACCTCTATAGCGTTTCCTCAAATCTATGACAAATTGATTGTGAGAAATGCCATTATTTTATGTATCACTAAGAAAGACCAGGCCGGGCATGGTGGCTTACACCTGTAGTCCCAGCACTTTGGGAGGCTGAGGCTGGCGGATCACAAGGTCAAGAGATCCAGACCATCCTGGCCAGCATGGTGAAACCCCGTCTCTACTAAAAATACAAAAATTAGCTGGGTGTGGTGGCACGCACCTGTAGTCCCAGCTTCTCGGGAGGCTGAGGCAGTAGAATTGCTTGAACCCGGTAGGTGGAGGTTGCAGTGAGCCGAGATTGTGCCACTGCACTCTAGCCTGGCGACAGAGCGAAACTCCATCTCAAATAAAAAAAGAAAGAAAGAAAGAAAAGAAAGAAAGAAAAGAAAGAAAGACTAAACATTGCCAATTAAATGATAATATGCCATCAGTTGTAAAAACAGTGAAAAAATATGCCTTAAATATGATAAAAATAAATGATATTAGCATGCTAAAATCCTAATATTAGTAAGAATGTGAAGATTGACATGAACCGTGCAATCTTCTTACCTGCACATAGATTTCTCTACTCAATGAGTTCGATTCAGTGGCTCATTAACTGACTGTAGCCTCATTGTTTCTCCTGTCTCTTCCAGGTATGGGGAGGATGTCAGGCAGGACCAGCAGCAGCTCCTGGAGGGGATCTCAGAGCTGGACATCAGGACAGGGGGAGTCCCCTCACAGCTGCTTGTACATGGAGCCCTGGCCTTCCCTCTGGGGCTGGATGCCTCACTCAACTGCTTCCTGGCGGCTGCTCACTATGGCCGGGGCCGGGTGGTCCTGGCTGCCCACGAGTGCCTGCTCTGTGCTCCCAAGATGGGGCCCTTCTTGCTCAATGCGGTGCGCTGGCTGGCCAGAGGCCAGACAGGCAAAGTTGGGGTGAACACAAATCTAAAAGATCTGTGTCCTCTCCTATCGGAGCATGGCCTGCAATGCAGCCTGGAGCCCCATCTGAACAGCGACTTGTGTGTCTACTGCTGCAAGGCATACAGTGACAAGGAGGCTAAGCAGCTGCAGGAGTTTGTGGCTGAGGGTGGGGGGCTGCTGATTGGGGGCCAGGCCTGGTGGTGGGCCTCCCAGAACCCTGGCCACTGCCCCTTGGCTGGCTTCCCTGGTAACATCATCCTCAACTGCTTTGGCCTCAGCATCCTGCCTCAGACTCTCAAAGCAGGCTGCTTCCCCGTTCCCACCCCTGAGATGAGAAGCTACCACTTCCGCAAGGCGCTCTCTCAATTCCAGGCTATACTGAACCACGAGAATGGGAACTTGGAAAAGAGCTGTCTGGCAAAGTTGAGAGTTGATGGTGCAGCCTTCCTACAGATTCCTGCGGAGGGGGTCCCTGCTTACATATCCCTGCACAGGCTCCTGAGGAAGATGCTACGAGGGTCTGGCCTCCCAGCTGTGAGCCGGGAAAATCCAGTTGCCAGTGACTCCTATGAGGCTGCGGTGCTCTCCCTGGCCACTGGGCTGGCTCACTCTGGAACTGACTGCTCCCAGCTGGCCCAGGGGCTTGGCACCTGGACCTGCTCCTCCAGTTTGTACCCCTCAAAACACCCCATCACCGTGGAGATCAATGGAATCAACCCAGGTATGAAAACAGGAGAGAGTGCCCAGAACATTAAAGATGTAGGGGAAAGTGGGATTGGCTGACACTACACAGGACATTGCAGGTACCTACCCTCAAGAAGATTGACCCCATTCTTTTTTTTTTTGAGACAGAGTCTCACTCTGTCATCCAGGTTGGAATGCAGTAGCGCGATCTCAGCTCATGCAACCTCCACCTCCTGGGTTTAAGCAATTCTCCTCTCTCAGCCTCCTGTGTTGCTGGGACTACAGGCACACGCCACCATGCCTGGCTAATTTTTGTATTTTTAGTAGAGAGAGAGTTTCACCGTAAAGGTAAGGCTGGTCCGGAACTCCTGACCTCAGGTGATCCACCTGCCTTGGCCTCCCAAAGTGCTGGGATTACAGTCGTGAGCCACTGGGCCCAGCTGACTCCATTCTTCATCAGGTACTTTCAAGAAGATGGGGATTGGGACACTGCTTAAGGTTTAGAGGGGATGAGTCTAAGAAGTATGGATGACTTGAGATACACAGGGGAGAAGCTGTACCACTGGGAGGGGCTGGGAGGCCCCAAGTGGAGATATACTCACATAGGAAGGAAGAACTGAGCCTTCTCTGTGACTTTTGTCAGGCAACAATGATTGCTGGGTGAGTACCGGGCTCTACCTCCTGGAAGGACAAAATGCAGAAGTCTCACTGTCTGAAGCTGCTGCCTCTGCTGGCCTGAGGGTAAGGTCTGAACACCCACATCTGCCACCTCTCAAAACCGTAGAGCTGTGTCATTCTCATCCACTGTCTAGTTCCAGCTCATGGCAATGCTGCCAGGAGTACAGAGATGGATTATTCTGCCCATTTTACAGATTTTACAGATGAAGCAGCTAAATTTCAGGGCATCTAAGTGAGTGACTGAAGTGCCTAGTGTTATCAAGCAAGAGAAGCTCACTGCAGAATGGACTAGAAGCCAAAACTATGACACTTGAGTTTTTCACCAAAAAAAAAACAAAAACAAAAGAAAACATTTTATTGCAATTTGATTAACAAGGAGACAGGAGCCCAGCTCAAATCTGTCCCATTGTACTTATTTTAAAGAGTTATTTTAGTAGAAAAGGTGTAGGGAGTGGATTCTGTGATTAGTAGGTGATTGATAGAAAGAAAAGGAAGGGCTGGAAAATCCTCGGGCATGGGCAGTTACCTCTTCATGCCTCCTCATGGGTCCCATGTGCAAACTCAGAGGGAGTTAGTATGAAACATGCGGTACAAATTTAGGCTGTGTGTCAGCAAGCTCATTCTGCACAAACTCTGGTTTTATCTCTTTATCTTGACACCTGAAGGGTGTGCATAATCCCATCACTCCCCAAAATATGCCCTACATGCAGAATTTAAATTCATCCTGCCTCCTTGACTCTGAGGGCCACTTCCTACCACAGCTAGGGTCCCTTTTCTGTCAGCATTCTTTCTGGAGCTTGCTTATATCAAACCTAAGAAAAGCAACTCCAGGACTCCAGACAAAACAGATCTCCACCCATCTGGCGGCCAGAAAGGGAAGCTCTGGGCAAAGAGGGAGAGAGAATCAACCTCACTCACTCTGGATGGGCCTCCTGTGTGTTCACAGAGGACAGAGCAGAGTCCCCCAGCTCATCCTCAATATCAGCGTCCCCAGACTGGCTTAGGTCCTGCTAGAAGAACCCAGGATTTTGCCTGGCAGAAAGACACAAGACCTTTGCCAGGATCAGCCTTGTCTCTCACCAATTCATGTCAGGTGAAGACTTATAGTGGAGCTGTTTAAATCCTTAGAAAAATGATTTTAAATGCCTTGAAGTCCAAATGACTTTGGAGTGCTAAAATTTCATAAGTTTCCATGCCTAGCACATAGAAAAGGGAAGCTGGGGTTTCATGGGCATGTTTGTCTAATACCTTCCATCTACACAACCTCACACGCACATCACAAAGCATCACAAAGACTCTAATTTCTCCAACGCTTGGTGGAATCACCTGTCCAGGTACAGATAGGCTGCCACACCGATGACCTTACCAAGGCCAGGAAGCTATCTCGAGCCCCCGTGGTGACTCACCAATGCTGGATGGACAGGACTGAGCGGTCAGTCTCCTGCCTCTGGGGCGGCCTCCTCTACGTCATCGTGCCCAAGGGCAGCCAACTAGGCCCTGTGCCTGTCACTATCAGGGGAGCTGTGCCTGCCCCATACTACAAGCTGGGTAAGTGGAGTGAACATTTAGGGAGGAGGAAGAGTGGCAGATGCCGTGGGAACTGTGGGGTGGTTGCTAAATGGGAGAGGGATGAGCTTTGGTGGAGAGAAAGAGGAAGAACTGTTGGGAGGGAACATGGAGGCAGAAGATACGGAATACCCTGTGTCCATGGAGACTTCAGGGCAGACAAAGAGAAGAGTCAGGAAGCCTTTTCTTCACTTTACAGCCTATAGACGCCTGTGATAGTAGTTCATTATTGCAATGTTCTTCCAGAGTTCAAATGGTATTTTTCAGCTCAAGGGAAGTTGGAGAAGTGGGTGTGGTAGGTTCCATGATATTTATTCCCAGGTAAGACATCGCTGGAGGAGTGGAAGAGGCAGATGCAGGAGAACCTGGCTCCCTGGGGAGAGCTGGCCACGGACAACATCATCCTGACAGTGCCAACCACAAACCTTCAGGCCCTGAAGGACCCCGAGCCTGTGCTCCGCCTCTGGGATGAGATGATGCAGGCTGTGGCCAGGCTGGCGGCTGAGCCCTTCCCTTTCCGCCGTCCTGAGAGGATTGTGGCTGATGTGCAGATCTCAGCTGGTGGGTGCTCCCAGGGAATCCTCCTAGTCAGTGGAAACCATGTATCTATTACTTTGCCTTTTATGAATGTCCAAAATGTGTAAGCATAATTTTATTAGTAAAGCAAGGGAAAAAGATATAAAAGACATTGACCATGATGGGGATGAAAGAATGTTTACATGTGAAAAACAAATTATTGACATCTACAAGGTGAGATTTCACTGGATGGTAAAACAATCTCAGAAAACGTTGTATTGGGAATTCATAGATGGCAACCAGAGTCATTTCAAGGACAACATAGAAAATCAACTATTTTCTTCAAACATAAGCCAGAGTTGAAAATGAAAAGAGGAAATACGTAAGGAGGTTTATGGTAAGTACTGAGTGGTTAAAAAGAAAGAGGTACATAGGAAGAGAAATAAGGAACTCTGGATCCCAAATGGGGAAAGTTCTTTGGACCTCAATTTTCATACCTTCAAATAAGGACAAAAATTATCTCTGTCATAGAGTGTAAATTTGGACAAAAGTAGTATACATGGGGAAGAAAGAATGACACTGTTCTAGCCCTCAAGGATCTCAGATCCAGTCAGAGGACATCATATCTCAGACTGACATGTAAAGGACACTCACACACACAAAATGAAGGTGTCGAATTACAGCAAGAATGACTATGTAAAGTATAACCAAATTCTCCAGGGCCAGATTGAGGAGGAGGCCACAACTCAGGTGTGAGAGACTAAGAAGGGGATTAGGTACTATTCAGTTTCTGACCAAGTAGGGGAAAGCTATTTGCTTTCCAATCAGCACAGAGATTCTGCAATTATTGGGGATAACCAGGATGGTGAAGAAAAGTCCAATAATGGAGAAGAATGAAGGAGATAGTTTGGGCGGACCCTCCTCAATGCTCATCTCTTCCTTCTGTGTTCCCAGGCTGGATGCATTCAGGATACCCCATCATGTGCCACCTGGAGTCTGTGAAGGAGATCATCAATGAGATGGACATGAGGAGCAGGGGTGTGTGGGGCCCCATCCATGAGCTGGGCCACAACCAACAGTGGCATGGATGGGAGTTCCCCCCACACACTACTGAGGCCACCTGTAACCTTTGGTCAGTCTACGTGCATGAAACAGTCCTGGGGATCCCCAGGGCTCAGGCCCATGAGGCTCTGAGCCCTCCAGAGCGAGAGAGGAGAATCAAGGCCCACCTGGGAAAGGGAGCCCCCCTGTGTGACTGGAATGTATGGACAGCCCTGGAAACATATCTACAGGTACTGAGCAGAAATTCTGGGAGAAGGGGATGACCAGACCCCTCAGTCATGTAGCGACCTGGATCCCAGTAGCTCTCCACCTCCTTCGCCACTCCACCAGCCTGGACCTCCACCTCCCCTGGAAATGAGAGAGACTGGGCCGCAGGGTGGTGCTTCTTGGGTTACACCCCTCTAAGGCAGAGAGAATGGCACCTGTCTCACTCACCTTCTGATTTTGCAATGTAAGAGGAAATGAAAAATATTATGAAAAAAATAGAAATATAGCATATTATTCAAGGGCAGAAACTCTGTTAGACATTCCTGCAGCTGAATCACAGCTCTTGCCCTCATTGGTTTTGTTCTTGGTCTCCTAATAAGTGTTCCATAAATGGTCATTGCTTTGTTTAGTTTTGTTTTATTTCACCTGAGTTTTATGAGTCAAATGAGTTATGCTTTTTTATAATAACGGAGGGTGTCTGCAATGCAGCTGCATTACAATAAGAAGGCATTGTTGGAGACAAATCTGCTAACAAGGGTCTCATCATCCATCACCCCACTTGAAGCCAAAATGATTTAAAATGAAGAGCCAGTCAACCCAATAGTAGAACACTGAATTCATAAAGCAAGTCTACTTCCTGTGAAATAAACACAAATCCCTGCCCCCTCCCCTAGCCCTGCATTGAATGTCGATGTTTTCAAGTTGTCAATGTTGTTCCCCTTTCAGATCTCCTGCAATGTCTCCCACAGCTCTATGGATAGGAGCTGTCTGGCCCACTTTTCACAGAGGCACACACTATTTTAAAGAATTTAAGCAATCTTTCCAGTAGCCCCCATTTAAGTGAAGGACCTAGAACTTAAAATCAGGACGTAATGACAAGCCCCAGGCTTTCGCATTGCCATACCCTCTCTTAGTTTTTTGTGCCTTTCACTAATTTTCTGAAGAGTGAATGTGAGACAGTCCCAGTCAATGAGGTAACTTTGTATTGCATTCATTTCCATATCCTTAGATAGCCAGTCTGGGGGTATACAGGACCACTGACCACAATGGTAGGTTGCCCCTAAACTGTAAGTTTAAGCCCTAATTCTGTCCTAGTCTGCTACCTACTCACTGTGGAGCCCCGAATATCAGTTCTCAATAGCTCTAGAGAGACCAAGTCTGAGACTTGGCCTCAGGATAAACAGGCACCTTCTGACTCCTCTTCCTGCTAGAGGGCTTCTCCCCAGCATCCGTGCCACTGCTGCCTTAGCTCAGGCCTCGTTAGTCTTCCCTCAGTGTATTCCAGTAGCCTTCTAAGTTGTCCCAGCATCTTGCCTCAATCCTCTATGATCCATCTTCCTTACACTCCTTCCAAAATAATGTTAATACTCTGTCTATCAAATGCTTACAGTGTTCTCTAGCATATATAGGGTAAAATCAAAGCTCATTAGCAGGGCATAGGAGGCCCTTCATGACCAGCCTCACCAGCACCTCTAGCTACATCTCCTACTGCTCTCACCTCCACATTTACCCTTCGGCATGCCAACCTGCTTATGGTTACGGACACAGCTTGCTGTTTTGGCTTCTGTGCCTCCCCTTGTTTGCTTCCTGCTGCTGAATCATGCTGGAACATCTTGTCCATTAGCTGTCAAGTCACCTGTCCAAATTCAGCTCTGTTGGCCCTTTCTCTCCTGGACATCGCCTCCTTGATAAACCAACAGTTTTAGCAATGTGTTTATTTACGTGTGTTTCTCCCTTTGGCCAGTGTTCTCTAGAAGGACAAGAGCTCTTAATGATGTTTGCCTAGCACAGTAGCTGGCGGTGTGTGGGTGTCTAATACATGTTAAACGTTTAATAAATGCTTAATTTATTGATGCATTGATTAATAAGTGTCAAAGAGCAAGCCAGTGAGAACAGATGAGCAATAATAAGGATACAACAGTGAGACTCTGAGGTAGGCTTGGCTTCGGTGGTGTTATCTGTCTTTGGGCTTTTATGAGCTACAGTCACAGAATGCTCATCTATTAAAGGGAGAGTGGGGATGTGAAACCCCAGATCCCCGCTAACTGGAAATTTGTATAATCTTAGTAAACAAGGGCCTTCTGCCAAGGGCTTTCCGGAGAGCTGCCCCTTATGAAGTATGAGCCACTCTCATTAGCTGCCCCTTATGAAGTATGAGCCACTCTCATTTTTAGCCCCTCGAGACAGGCTGGATTTTTTTCTTTTTCTGCCCTAAATGCAGTGTTCTACAGAGCAATTTTGTATCATTGCAGATAGCCACAGGTCCAAGATGGCTATTAAAAAATAAGGATTATTATGATGTCTGGAAAGTATAGTATTGGAGGTTCGCAGCTTTTAGAATCTCAATAGGCCAGATATGTAGGAAGTGAGGGTTTCTCATCTCAGTCAGGCCCAAACCTGTCCTGATGCTGAGGAAAACACTTGAGATCTGGGAAGACAATTGTTTAAAGATACTAATAGTGGACATTTATTGAGTATTTACCTCTATTCAGACATTAGGTTTCCCCTGAGCACCCCCACTAGATTCAGGGGGTGTTGTTTTGTGGCCAAGAGGAGGAATGAGCCAACAAGATTGCATTATTGTGCAGGGGCAGAGTGGGGAGATAGGGGCACATACCCAGGATGAAGGTAACGATTGAGGGGAGGTGATCATGTGAATGAAATATATTTAAGAACGCACATGTCACGTCACTTTTGCAAACTTGACACCTCATTCTGTTCCTTCTTTCCCTTTTCAGCTCCAACAGGCCTTCGGGTGGGAGCCATTCACCCAGCTCTTTGCTGAGTACCAGACCCTCTCTCACCTCCCCAAAGACAACACTGGCAGGATGAATCTATGGGTGAAGAAGTTCTCTGAAAAAGTGAAGAAGAATCTGGTTCCCTTCTTTGAGGCCTGGGGCTGGCCTATCCAGAAGGAGGTGGCTGACAGCCTGGCCTCCCTACCAGAGTGGCAGGAAAACCCCATGCAAGTGTACCTCCGTGCCAGGAAGTAAAGGATGCCCCACAAGGCGGGAGAGAAAAGGCAGGGTCACGCCATCAACTCCACCATGGGGCTTTGGCCGTGTGCTCAGTATCTGGAGCCTGAATCCCGCTTCCAAGCCTGACCACTAGATGGTGGCCACGGTCATAAGAAAAAATGGAACCCCTTTCTGTAAAAGGTGCCTTGTGCTTCTTTTTATTGTTTTTCTGCCTACGCTATTGCTTTCCCCAAGAGACTCACTTCACCTCTTAGTCTTCCAGAGAGGATCTTTCATCCTGCCATCCTGAGGCTTCTATTTTTGACCAATAGCTCTAAAGACCACGGGTTCCCATAACAACCTGATATCCCTTTCTCATCCCTGCCATCCCTGAATAAGGCTTCTAATTTATTATGCTTTAACAAGTTTTCAAATAGCAAGCGAGACACGCTGGAATAGTGGAGAGAGCCCCAAACACTAAATAAGCCAAATTTTGGGGTAAAAAAAATAAAAAACCATGAAACCAGACATAGAAGCAGAACCTAAAGCATATTTATCAAAATATCTTTGTTTAAAAAAAATGTCTTCAGTGGTCGTCTTGGCTGGTGGGATTTTAGGTCATTTTAATTATCTTTATAAAACTTTATTCTCTCGAATTTTAAAATTAACATCTATTTCTCTTATAATTAAAAATTAAATGTTATATTTTTTAAAAAGTATAGTTTATTTATTCCAGTAGTAACACATTATTGAAAAATGTAACTCTTGTGCAGATTCTCTTTAATTTCTTTTCAGCATGAAAATGAGGAGATGGCATGTCTTAGTTTTGTCATCCCATTTTCAGACTCACATGGCAAATGTCATAGAGTTCAGGTATCAGTTCTGCCTGTGGCTTTTTGTTACCTGTTGGAACTCAAGATATTTTGGGGAGTTAATGACATTGAGCTACAAGACTTAATAATGAAAAATTCCACTCGAAGTGTTCTTAGCATCTTCTCACAGGCACCTGGCAAAGCCTCAGCTAATGGTAGTAAAACTTCAATATGGAAAGCTGCAGTTACTTGCAGATATCCTCTCCACAGCTAATTAAAATGACTGCATATATTCATCCACATGCCCACACACACAAACTACAGTAGCATTGGGAATCTAGGAAGTGACTAGAATGGTTGACAAAAGCTGCAAGAACCACATAGAATTAAAGAAAAAAACCAACAACTTCTTAGCATAAAGGCAGCATAAATAAAGTTAAAGAAGGTGAGGTCACTGAGAGACAAATATTTGTAACAGACTGAACAGATACAAAATTAGAATTCAGAATATATGAGTAATTTCTAAGGATAAACAGAAAAGCAAAAAACAGAAAATATTTTTAAAGTATATTCTCAAACAGTTCATGAAAGATGAAATCCAAGTGAGATATTCAGCATTTGAAAAGATATAATCACACAAATGCAAATTATATATAATAACATATTTTACCCAGAAAATTAGTAAATGTTTCAAAAGCTGACAATATTAAGTGTTGGCAAGAGTGTGGAGAAAACTAATCTTTCATAAAAACTGGAGATCATTTTGGCAGTATCCAATAACATTAAAAAGAGAAACAGCCTATAGTAGTATAAATGGAGGCAGTACTAGGAAGTTCATTGCAAATTGTTGGTAATAGTGAAAAAATATGAAGAAGTTAAATGTTTACTAATATGAATGCAAATAAAAATTGGCATTTAATCATATGATGGATTACTATTTATCAGTCAATAAGAATAGGTCCACCTATGTTAATTAACAAGGAAAGATGTTCAAAACATATTTGTTGAGTAAAACAATTTCAAAAATAGCAGAACTTGGTGATGCAACTTATGGAAGACACAATATAAAGCAAAGTAAACATACGTCAATATATGTCCAAAATGTCAGGGAACAACCACAATAAACTGATAAGAGTGTTTTCTTTTGGATTGTGAGATAGAGAGAAAGGACTGACATTGAAGGAGATGATGAAAAGGGCTTTTGCCTCAATAATTTGTTTCTTCAAATAAGGAGAATGTACAATTATATTTCTCAGGTAATCAAACATTAAATTTAAAATTTAAGATAACTGCTCCAAAAATAGAAGTAAAATGTATAATCTACAAATGTGTTGAGGAAATTTAAGAAATGGATAAAGCTTAGTAGCAACCAAGGAAAAATGTAAAAAGAAATAAAGCATAAAAATAGAAAATAAAATTAAAAGGGGGTAAGAGCAAGAAATACATTTGAATCATCACAGTATATATGAATGCATTGAATTTCCATCTCACAGAAGCTGTCAGATTGGGTTAAAAACATCTGGATATAAGCTGCTTATAAAAGACACACCTGAAACTAAACATAAAAGCATTGAAAATGACAAAATCAACAAAGTTTTATTTTAAAAAATACAAAAACACAAAAGCAGACATATCAGCATTAATAAGGGATGCAAGTGATTTCAAAGAGGAAAAATTAAAAATGAACATTTTCTATGGATTAAAGTTACACTCTAACAAAAATAAAATTTTTATTAATTTTTATGCCCTGCAAAAACACAATACTGAAAGCAAGAACTGCTACAAAGAAAATAAAAATATGAATTGACATTACATTTGGAGATGGTAATGTATTCACAGCATCCATTGGAAAAAAAAAAAGGATGGAGATGATTTGATCAGAATGACTTACAAGCTTACTTACAGCCAGAAGACAATTGTCCTGCATCCTGAAGACAAGACATTGAGACCCTAGAAGGTTGTGTTCTGCTAACTTGTTGCAAAAATATGAAGTAAAAAGGCAGACATTCTCCAACATGATACATTAACTAAAAAATCAATGTGCAGAGCACACACACACACATAGATAAGCATCTGAGATGATCCATGTCAAACTTTTAGGATTGGCTACCTTGGTCCAGAGGCATGAGACTGGAGCTGGTGGTGTGGTGAGGAGGATGAGTTGCCATTTTCCTCTCTATATTTCTGTATTGGTGTGCATTTTTTTCAAAATAAACTTGAATTCCTTTTGAAATATTTTCATAAAAAGGCATTTCTTAAAAGAAAACTAAAGAAAGAAAGGAAAGGAGGAAAGAAGGAAGGAAGGGGATGACAGAGGGAGGGAGGGGGAAGGGAGGGGGAAGCAGGGAGGGAGGGAGGGAAAAGTGAGTAAGCATAGCAGTTAGTATATCAGGTAAATTTCAACAGCTGATTTGACAATATCCTAAGGGCAATATTAATGATCTCAGACAGCTAGTTACCAATATTTAAATCTTGTATAATATCTGTTTACAATGTTTAAGTGTGGAAAACAATGAAAGTAGCTGCTATTTAATAAGGTTTAATATATGTTAGGTATTTAACATATGTATTATCTCTTTCAATCATTATAATAAACCTGAAAGTTACTATTCTCACTTTAAAGATGGAGTTTGGAAAAGCTAAGCAATTTTCCCCACGTTTCCTAGCTAATAACTGGCAGGGACAGGAAGCAAACCTGACAAAGCAGGAGCATCGTCATCTTGGATAAACACCGCTAATTTATGTTTCAGCTCCCTTTCTAGCCCCATGCATTTCCAGGAAATCACTTCTCTTCTAACTACAAGCAGCCGGAAAGAGCAGAACGGTAAAACACAGATGAGACAGCTCGGGCACAGAGGGAGGAGGGAGCAAAGTCTCTTGGGTAACTGCCAAACTTCATCCTCATACAATGGGCCCCAGTTAAACAGTGGGCCTTAATAAGAACATTCCTTTCCCTTTGGGTGCACTAAGTTAGGGAAGTTAAAAGATAGGAAGCTAAAAGTGGGGTATGCCTGCAGCTGCAGAAAGATATATGGGAACAGAGATACAACTCTCCCTCTCAGATAAGCACAACAAAGAGACACAGAAGCAGTCGAGGCCTCTGATAAACTCTCCCACCTTGAATCCTTAAAAACTCTTAGTCTGTAAGGGAGTATGCCTCTGACCTAACTCGGCCAGATGCCCCTCCCATGTTTATTTTCTCTAAATTAAACCTGTCTGTGACTGTCAAGCCACCTTTTGTATTTCTTTCCTATTTCTTTAATTTTTACTAAACCCAGGCTGGCTTGCTTCCAAAGCCACCGTTGTCTACACACCAGAACTCTCTCACTCAATTACTGAGTCTTTGACGGAACCTACATCTGGGTACATGGTTTTCGACAGGTATATCTTGTGCAAAGGAAGCTTTACAGGATGCAAAGGTGCGAACAATACTGTGTTTAAGAAAGGAAAAGCATGTGTTACTTCAGAGCTGGAAGTGCAGGGGAAGCCACTGAGGACTAAAGGAAAGGGATGGGATGGTATGGTTAGGAAATGTTCGCAAACCACATCTGAGCAGACAGGTAACATGGGCGATAGGTTTCTGAATGCCAATTAAAAAACTGCCAAATTAGGAAGGTACAGCACTAAATAAAAAGGTAAGTGTGAAGTGCGCTGCTGTCATTTTCACCATATTGAAGGTAAAACATCTAACAATTTATATATTTTTTCTTGAAAATAAAAGTAATGAAGTCTACTGGTAGTAATCAAATACATCTTCACTTAGCTTGTTTTGTTTTTCTGTTGAGATTGTATAGAATGTAAAAATACTCTTCTGGATTTATTTCACTCTCTGATAAATATAAACAGGACAGAAATACTAGAATCTAGAAACGATGTTTTCTTAGGATCTATAACATCAAAAAAAGGACTAGAGAGAACTATGTTGATCAGATGCTGTAAAAAACATTTTGAAGACCTGCAGCCCCCAACACTTGAGTATCTTTTTTTTTTGTATTTTTAATTTCTTAAATACAGATAAATCATAGTAAATAAGAAAACTTTAAAAACTGTCTCCATCATCACTGAACAATATGGGCATTGATAATCAGAGAGGTGCCTTGAAATTGTAAATCTATTTTTTTTCTTTTATTTTAAGCTGGTAAATACAGGGTAAAATCTCTTTAGATCTCAATCATGCCTATTAGACACACAATTTTATTTAAACTATTTAACCTGTCAGATTTAAGAAAATAATTTGGAAAACTCACTTTTGTAACAAATTGCAGGTACAAAAATTACTCATTTGGAATAGTCAGAATACAGATGCTACTCACCTGTGAGCACAGATATATTCATATTTCTATGTCAGACCAAAATCCTGCTTAAACACACAAACATTCCTAACAATGTCATAATGTTTACTCTTTCTCCTGGCTTAATAAACTATATTTCTGATATTATTGGAAGATTATTGTTAGAATTGAAGGAGATAATACAGGTTGAGCAGCCCTTATGGAAAATGCTTGGGACCAACCAATAGTGTTTCAGATTTTGATTTTTTTCAGGTTATGGAATATTTGCATACACATAAGGAGATACCTTGGTGTTGGGACCCAACTCTAAACACAAAATTCATTTATGTTTCCTATACACCTTTACACAGAGCCTAAAGGTAATTTATACAATATTTTAAATAAGTTTGTGCATGAAAAAAGTTTGTGTACATTGAACCATCAGAAAGCAAAGGTGTCCCCAAAGTGGGATTTTCCACTTCTGGCATTATGTTGGTGGTGCTCAAAAAGTTTTGAATTTTGGAGAATTTCAGATTTTTGATTTTTGATTAGGCCTGGTTTCTCCAGTCTTAGGGGACCTAGTAAGCTAGGCCCACTTCCACCAAACCACAGATGGAACTCACATGGGGAGTTTACACTTGAAAGCTTTTTTTCTTGTCTATCCACCCAATTTGTTCACTTTTCTATGTATTAGAAAGCATTAATGATAACTATTGAATTTGTGATTTTGAATATTTTCTTTCCATTGTACATGGAAGGTTGACTGGTGTTAGGAGATACTCCATCCTGGGCCACCCATCAATCACCTGTTCTCCTTGGCCAGTGCATAGCAATGTATGTCATCATCATAAAAACCTTCCACATCCAGCCATTTATTAATTATTTTTCATTCATTTTGTCAGATTTGGTGGAGAGAACAATTCTGGGATCTAGTCTCATTTCAGTTTTTACCTGGAAACTACATTCATGGATCTTGAATATAAACCTCATAAACCTTCCACACAATTATCTCTGTCTCTGAGTCAGATTCCCAGGAACCCAAGCTGAAACAAGTGGAATTTAGCAGCGCCTAGCAAAATTACGTATGAATTTCCTCCGTGACTCAGAAATCCCATTTCCAGTGATATGGCAAAATATAATGATACATACACAAAGGTATGTGGTGCTTGTAACTTGGAACTCCTTGGACAAAGACTTTCCTACTCTACAGGACTGTGTTGAGGACAGAGAAAATAAATAATTCTCAAGACAGTCATAAACCTAAGCCACTAGTACATATTTACAATTTTTACTTACCAAATAGTGACAGGTTCTCACTATGTTGCTCAGGCTGGAGTGCAATGCGTATTTGCAGGTGCAATTACAGAACACTGCAGCCTTGGATTCCCAGCCTCAAGAGAGCCTCCTACCTCAGCCTCTCGAGTATGTGAGTACCTGTGCATCAGCATGCCCAGTTACATATTTACTTTTATATGGGCAGCTGCTAACATATTTTAGAGCTTGTAGATTATACCGTGTGTAAGTGTAATGGGTGGCTGCTTAGTATCTGAGGTTAACTTTTCTTCCAGACTCTTCTGTCATGGTATAAAGGTAGCAAGTGCCTTTGGATTTGCTTTTAAATATTAAAGCAACTGCAGTATACTCCTGTTATATAAACATAGGTGTGCCCTTGGGGATAGGGTGTGAGAGGAGCTTTTGTTGGTGTTTAGAGACTGCCCCACTCCTTGGCAGGCAGAGTTGGGGCAGGCCAGCAATCAATTCTCTTAAGAAGCTCCAGGGCCTTCCAGCCGAGATTTAAAGTTAAGGAACCTGCTGGGTCAGTCCAAGCGCCTTTGACCAATATTTGTGGCAGGAATGTTCACTGAAAACCTCTAATGGGACTTGCTCTGAAGGCGGGAGGAATCTGAGCCAGAGACTCAGACTCTGACCTTCTGAGACTCTCAAGGAGTTGGTTCCCTCTGGCTCTATTGTTGGCTGAGGCTGGAAGGCTCTGGCGCAACCCCCAGCCCTATATTCCATAGTAGGAAGTTGTCTGCAGGATTAACAGTAGTATATGAGGCTGTCTTTTCTCTTGTTATGGTTTTGGATGTGTATTCATTCATATTTTTTCATTAATTTATATAGTTTACAAATATTTGTTGATCTCTAATGTTAAGTACTCCAGGCACTGAGAATAAAGCAGTAAACGCAACAGGCAAGATCATGGAGCTCTATATTCTGGTTGGTTAGACAGGCCCTAGCAAGAAACAGCGGAGATAGTTATAGAGAGTGATAATGTTTAAGGAATAAATGGAGAAATGTGATGAAGTGAAACTGGATGGACAGTCCAAATTTCAGTATGGCCACTGGGGAAGACTGCTCTGAGGAGGGTGTTTGAGTTGAAACTAATTAAGAAGAATAAATTGGATTTTCAAGAGCTGAAAGAAAGTCCAGAATAGGAACAAATATCTTGATATTTTATAAAACAAGAAATCTAATGTTACATGTTGTGGTCTTTACATTGAGGGACAGTTCTAAAATACTTTAAAGATGTGTATGGATAATATATGTTATCGCCAACCCCCCGATACTCAACTAGAAAATATCTGAGTATGCAACAAAGAGGAAATAGTTAAAACAAATTACAGAACTTATGATTAAAAATTATCATTAAAAATATCATATATAAAAATGGGAAAATATTTTTAAGGAGAATACAAAATAGCAGCATGTAATCATAGCTAGCAAAAATGATGTATTGATTTGTAAAGATATGCAAAGATAGAAGATATGTAAGCATAAACATTTTGGTTGAGGACATTACAGAAATTACAAATATTCAAATACTTTAGTGTCATTGTTTTCTCAATAAATGTTTTAATTAATCAAAACTAACAATGTGGGAATTTATTTTTATACAGTATTAGCTGAACTTTCACTACGCTTCTCTTAGTCCTAAAATATGGACTTAAACGCTGTGGGAATTCCAGTGCCTAGAATAGTGTCTAGAACAGGCACTCACATATTTTAGATAAATTAAAACATGGATACAAGATACTAGAAAGAGGGAAAAAAACTGATATGTTAAGAAAATTTGTTCCTTTCTCCTTTTTGTTGGTGAATCAATGAAAACTATAAATGATATCAGGTCAAAGAAAGATATCTTAATGTGATCTGGGGAGAGGTTTTTTATTTTTTAAGGGTTCTGAAAAGGCAAAGAGGTAATATTAAAAATGTCTTTTTTGTCAATTTATAATTATAGAGTATTCGGAAAGGACAAAAATATTTGAAGATGAAACCAATTACCAACTTAGCCCCAGAGACACATTACTAATATTTTATTATATTTTCTTCTAATGTTTTATTTTCCTGGCTATACATATATTGTTTTAATGAATTTAGCATCATTTTAATGCAGAGCTTTATATCTTAATTTTGTCTATTTTATCATGAATATTTTTCATTTCCTTTAAGAAGTCTTTGAACATAGAATTTTTAATGATTGCAAAATTACTCACTCAATCACTCTAGGATATGCTATACCTTATTTAAGCAATCTTCTATTACAGACACGTTTCTTCCAGTGTTCCACTTAACAGTGAAAATATTGCTAAAAAATATTTGCCTCATAGCCCGGCTTCTCCCTGTCTCCAGTGCTTCTTCCTTCACCTTTCCACAGATGCTGATCCTGGGAGCATGCCCTCACAAACCTCCCACACATGTATCTCTATCTCTGAGTCAGATTCCCAGTAACCCAAGCTGCAACAAGGGGGACTTAGCAGTGCCTAGCGAAATTACATATGAATTTCCCCCATGACTCAGAAATCCCATTTCCAGTGATAGCGCGAAATATAAGGATACGTGCACAAAGGTATTCATTGCAGCACATGTGTAACAGTAGAAGTACCAGAAAAATAACACATACTGGAAACTCAAGTGCCTGTCAATAAGGGACTTATTGAATAAACAATATCATATCCATACACCATGGTATAATAGAGTATACAGTGTATCTCTATATATTACTATCAGGCCATATCCAGGAAATAATGTTAAGTGAAAAAAAGTAAGGAGGAAAAAATGTATAGAGTATGTTATTGCCTTATCCAGTGAAGAGAAGACTACTAATATGTGTGTGTTTGTGGAGAATTAAACCACAAAAAATGCACAGAAGGAAGAAGGGAATTGTTTGAAGGAAACAGGGACAGAATATAGGTTTCTTAAGATCTTACTTTGGACCCAGATTACTATTTTACATAATTTTAAACAAAATTAAATTACACAAGCAATTCCAAAACTAAAAAATAAAATAACCAATGAATTGACATGTACATCTGTTTAGCGGTATAACCACAAAGAGCGGAAGTATTGGAAGTGACTTTAAAGATAGTATTTTGACTTTATATATGTATATAATAAAATATATCATTGGGACAAAAAGAACTGCAAGTAATCTTTGTTACAATAATCATCATATTGCTGGTAGTAGTGCTATTATTCATATTTTGCAACTGTTGTTTGTATATCTTGGGATAGAGCAAATGAGTCGTTACATTGGTGTCTTATAGAACCGGAATTTTTCATCATGAGAGATAGGAGATACAGAGGTAAGATTGTTGAAATCAAATTAAAACCCTGTAGCCCCAAATCTGATCCGAAGTATCAAAATATAAACCAAAAATATCTATTTCTTAGCTGTGCCTATTTAGAAGGCCTAGAAACAAAGATCAAACAATGCACAACTCTAACACCCGGACTGGAGTTTCTAAATGCAAATTAGGACTCCCAGAAATATGGGCTGTACGTTAAAAAAAGAAGGAAGAAAAAAATAGGGCTTTTTGGAGAAATGGCAGTTCTGGGCCTGAGCAGGAAATACATGAGATGAAATTGAAACCTCCTGTTATATTAAAAAACCAGGAAGCCCATTAAGGTTGGGTGGAAAAGATTCAGGAATCATCTTGAATTGGCTCCCAATGGCCAAACAGGACAATTTCAACATCAATAAGGATAATAAATGAAACACATTGTGTTTCCAATCATGATTTCATAATAATTCTAAGAAAAATTTAAACACATTGGTGACCTCTGGAAGATGCTAGGGAAACAACTCAATATTGGAAACTGGTTTTAAAATGAGAAAGAGAGAATTAAATATTTATTTTGCCTTTTCTATATAAATTATACCATAGAGTATGTAATTGGTGAAGGAAAGTGTGTTTTATAAAACTATTCCAAATAACAAATAAAAGGAATATTAAAATTTTAAAGCCATCATTTTATAAACACAAATTAATGGGTCTAGGGCTAAGCAACGGTTATTAAGGACTGCCAACCTCACAGTAAGAGAGAAAATCAGACCATTGTGCTCTACCCAGTAGAAGTGCATACTACCACCTATAAAATAGGTCAAAAATTCAAACATGAATCTGATCAAACCTCTAGATCAGGAGCTGAGAAAGTTTTCCTTAAAAGGTCCGACAAATATTTTAGACAAATATGGGCCATATGGTCTCTGCTGAAACTATTCAACAATGGCAGACACTGTAGCTTGAAAGCAGCCACAGTTTGTGAATGAATGGGCATGGCTGTGCTCCAACAAAACTTCATTCACAAAAACAGGGGCTGGCCTCAGTTTGTCAATCCTGACCTAAAATCGAGATCTAACTTTTAATTTGTATTATACAGAAAATACAAGCAAAAAATGAATATGTTAAATCAGTGGTCCCTAACCTTTTGGTACCAGGGACCTGTTTATAGAAGACAATTTTTCCATGGACCTGGCAGGGGTTTCAGGATAATTCAAGTGCATTACATTTATGGCACACTTTATTTCTATTATTAGTACATTGTAACATATAATGAACTAATTATACAACCCACCATAATGTAGAATCAGTGGGAGCCCTGAGCTTGCTTTCCTGCAACTAGATAGCCCCACCTGAAGGTGATGGGAGACAGTGACAGATCATCAGGCATTAGATTCTCATAAGGAGCACACTACCTAGACCCTTTGCATGAGCAGTTTGCAATAGGGTTCGTGCCCCTATGAGACTCTAATGCTGCCACTGATCTAACAGGAGGCGGAGCTTAGGTGGTAACACAAGTGATGGGGAGTGGCTGTAAATACAGATGAAGCTTTATTTGCTCACCCGCTGCTCACATCCTGCTGTGTGTTCTGGTTCCTAACAGGCCATGGACTGGTACCCCCATATTAAATGATACCACAGGAAGGCAATCAATTTGCCTTTCCAGGTTTTCACCATTGCGCTTCACTGTGCCTGGAATCCTCCTCCCACAGATGCACACATGGCTCATTCCCTGACTTCCTTGAGGTCTACTTTCAAAGTCCAGACCGAAGTAAACTGTTCAACAAAGAGTAGCTGGTGTCTTCAACAACAGCAACAAAACTGCAAGAAATAGAAAGTTGGAAAGGAAACGCGTATCTTAAAAGAGATATAAAATTTGTATCAAGAAATCAAAATATTTGGGTTTTATTTAAATTTCAGTGTTAACACTTTTTTTTTTTTTTTTTTGAGACAGAGTCTCAGTCTGTTGCCCAGGTTGGTGTGCAATGGCATGGTCTCGGCTCACTGCAACCTCCACCTCCCGGGTTCATGTGATTCTCCTACCTCAGCCTCCCAAAAAGCTAGGACTGCTGGTGCGTACCACCACACCCGGCCAATTTTTTTATTTTTAGTAGAGTGTTGCCACGTTGGCCAGTCTGGTCTCAAACTCCTGACCTCAAGTGATCCACCTGCCTTGGCCTCCCAAAAAGGACTGGGATTACAGGCATGACCCACCATGCCTGGCCCAATGTTAACACATTTTGAAAAATAAGACAATCATGGAAATAAATGATGACACTAAGGAATTATTCTTTTAGGTGTGATAATGATGACTTGCAGTTATGTTTTTAAAAGACTTCATACCTTTAGAGATATATATTTAAATACTTACAGATGAAAAGACATGATGTCTGCTGTTTGCTTCAAAATAATCTTGGGTGGGGAAGAGTGGGGCTACAGGTGAAATAGGACAGACCTGGAGTTGACTATTTTGGGGACTGGGGAATGGCTACATGGGGGTTCATTGTACTATTCTGTCTACTTTTGCATATGTTTAATATTTTCAGTAATTAAGAATTAAAATAACAAACACACAAAATATACCTTAGAATCGGTGGCAGGGATTAAAAATGTAGATATAGATGAAGAAAAACAGGTTGAGTTAGCTAGAGAGGAGAATCCCTTGGGGCAATTAAGAGGCATTATAGTGATGAGATTTCACCTGCTTGTCCCTTCGCATTAGAATAAAAAAGTTGAAGCGAATCAGATCCACTCCAATGTCTCTGAGTAAACCCATCCCCTCCCCAAATCTCTCAGAAGGGAAGGAATTCAAAGAGGTCCAGAGCTTGGGGCTGAGGGTTCAGGGCACTGCCAGCTGCTCACTAGTATCTGTATGCCCCTTCTTCTTTGTACAGCATCTTGATTTCTTCAGAGACGCCAGTGCCCATTTAAAAATAGCCAGCCCTTCAGATCTCCTGGTAGTTAGGTCTGGAAGTCAGGCCTCCCACTGATTCTACATTATGGTGGGTTGTATAATTATTTCATTATATATTAAAATGTACTAATGATAGAAATAAAGTGCATAATAAATGTAATGCACTTGAATTATCTTGAAACTCCTGCCAGGTCCATGGAAAAATTGTCTTCTACAAAACAGGTCCTGGTACCAAAAGGCTAGGGACTACTGATTTAACTAGGCTGGCCGTTAAAATATAAATAGAAGTCTAGGGCTTCCAGGAAATACATGGTTTTATAAACTAAAAGTAGGTGTATCCATTCCAATTTATTATTGCATGGGTGTAATTATGGTGCCTGGAGTAGTAGTGGCAAACTTGTAGCCATAAGGATAAAATAACACACCATGACAGGGTCAGGCAGTGACAGGGAGACAGAGACTGACCATGGGACATCATAGAGTCACTGCCCCAGAGCTGGACTACCTACCTGTACTTCATGTTTCATAGAAAAAATAAACTGCTACATGGTTAATCTGCTATACTAAGGCTTCTGCTACATGTGGCCAAACATAAGTAAGTAGTCACTAATATCTGAAACCTAAAACATCCAAAATGAGACTCCTGATCTCCTCTAATCCATCTTCTCATTGTCCTTTCACAGATCACTAAACAGCAGCACCTGTGTTTAATTTTTGGTCTTTTTCAGACCAAAAATCTCAACTCCTCTTTTTCCTTACTCACTCCATCAGCCAAGCCTGTTGGGTTCTCCCTTTGAGGTGTGTCCAGAATGGAACCTGTTCTCAGTAGCTCCACAGCTTCTATCAGTCTTGTCTGGGCCACCACCATCTCTCCTGTGGTCTACTTCAGTGGCCTCCCGATTGGTCTGCTGCTTCAATCTTTGCCTCCCACAGTCTGTTCTCCACCATCAATCAGAGGGTTCCTTTTGAAATTTAAGTCACATCATAGCAATCTTCTGTAGAGAATACAAAATGTCTTCCCATCTCACTGCAAATAAGGTCTAAAGTTCTACTCCTGGCCTGTCAGTTCTTACATGACCTGAGCTATCATTCACTGAGTTCCCATCATTCTGGCTTCCCTGATTGCCAGGTGTGTCCCTGGCCAATGGATGAAATGAGTACTCAGACACAAGTATGCAGTGTAAGAACAGCTAGGTGACTGCCTGGCTGTAGTGGCCAGAGAGCAGCCCCGAGAAGCTGAAGCTGCTTGCTTTTATTTACTGCAGGCATAATGCCGAAAGCCTGGAGCCTACACAATCTGTAAATGACTAACATTTATTGTTCCTCATTCAGAGAACATCATGTGTGCGGATGTTCAAATGTCAGCTCCTGGACAACTTCAAACAAACAGGCTTGATCAAGACAAATTCTCCTACACTCCCTTGTACCTACTCCTTGCCCTCTGCCTCAGGGTCACAGAACAGCTGCCTTCAGCTATTCTCCCCTGGAGCTTTGCAGAGCCTTCCGACCTTATAGAAGGGCCACTCCCTTTCCCTTGGAACATACTAAGCAGGCTTCCCTTCCAGGTTTTCTCACCCTCACTCCTCACTCTGCCTGGAATCTTCCTCTCACAGATGCCCACATGGCTCATTCCCTCACTTCCTTGAGGTCTCCTTTCAAGTGCTACCTACCAGACCAGCCTTCCAAGCCGGCCATGAGCTTGTTTGCACTCATCTCTATTCCCCTTTCATCTTGGTCATCCTCCGTGTTGCAGAAAACTGCATTTCTTTGGTTCTCCTGTTCCCTGGATCCTGGTGGGTTCAGCCCATGGGAGAGAGAGGTAGAAGACTGAAATCAGGAAGGAAGAAGGAAGGAGTTTAAGTGCTTGCTTCTCTCTTCAGGCTGTATTTCTGGTAACCACAGTGTCTTCTCTGAGACTCCAGCTTCTAGCAGACAGACCTTTCATCTGTGGTTCCAGCTCCTGCTGGGAAGGCATAGCATGGCTCCAGCTTCTACCAGGTGGCCGCAGCACCTGGACTTCAGTAATACCACCATCTCCCTCTGCTGGTTCTGCTGTTGCTGATCTCTGGGTTACTTGCTGTCCCCTGTGTGTATTTTCAGCTCCTCTATCATGGGTATAGTCAATTCCCCATACTAAATCCCTTCTGCTAGCAACGCCAACAAATCCTGACCAATCCAACTTGGTCTGACTGATAGGACTTCCCTGAACATCTTAAATAAAATAGCCTCCATCAGCCTTCCTGTTGTCATGCTATCCACTTATATTATCATCTTTCATGGATCTTAGCAATACCTGATAGAGCACATATATATTAGTTTCCTTAATACCTATCTCTCCCCTGGAATACAAACCTCATGATGGCATGACTTGCCTGCCTCGATCTCTGCTAGACCCCCATTGTCCAGAATGCAGCATGATCAACAATCGGTGCTCACACAAACAAACAAATATTCTTTCATGCATTTAAGAGGTATTGATGAGCACTCTCTAGGTTCTATTTACTAGACATGGAGATAAAGTGGTAAGACAAGCTTTTCTATTCAGCTTTGGCCACAGGAGGGAGTGGCAGTGAGGGCCCAGCCTCTCTTGTGTCTTGGTGCATTTTAATCATCCTGCTTTTGATTTGTGGTGGTTCCAAACTGAGTGGAAAATCACCTGTATTGCAATGGAAGCTTGTTGAAGAGGGGAACCAACTCTATTGTTTATCCTGAGTCAGACTCCCTAAGAGGGGAACAAACACTCACCTGACATGGAGTGGGATCTTGGGCACCTTCTTAGAGACCTTGAACCGGTCTCTGTCCCCATAGGTGTCAGTGAAGTACACTCCGGCTACACTTGTCACCTTGTTCCCAGGGAACCTGGAGAGCACCTTGTCAGGGCCGTGCTGGCTGGCCCAGTACCAGGCCTGGCCCCCGATTAACAAGCCCCCTCCATGTTTCACAAACTGGATCAGCGTTGCAGTCAAGGTGTCATTGTAGGCATTGATACAGTAAACCCCTAGGGGCTCTCCTGGTTCTGGCTTGACCTGTGCCTCAAGCCCAGCATCCTGTAGGATGTTTACTAGAGGTGCCAGGGATGGACGCACTCCCACGGGAGCCCCAGGACAGGGACAGAGCCAGCTCACTGCATTGAGGAGAAATGAAGCCAAGCCAGCATGCGACAGGTAGCCCTCATGGGACACAACCACGAGGCGGCCTCGGCCGTAGGAGGAGGCAGCAATGAGCACCTGGCCCTTGTCATTCACCATCACGGGGAAGGCGGCTTCTCCAATAAGAAGGAGTTCACTGGGGATGGGGCCTCTGGGGACATCCCAGCATGTCACTCCATCCATGAGGGCCTCAAACGCAGCAGCAGCAATGGTCGCCATGGTTCTATCAGCTGCTGCAGGGGGAAGCAAAGACTTTCATGTATTTAAGAGATACTGATAAGCACTGCTGGTCAGAACAGATGAAGGAACAGGTGAAAAAAGCAAACAACTAAATGCATTCACCTCCAAATTTTACTGGATTCCCCATTGTGGGCCAAGCACTGTTCTAGCACTGGGAGTACAGCAAGAAACAAAACAGATAAGGTTTCCCTTTTCGTGATTTGAATATTTTAGAAGGAGAAAGATAATGAATAAATAGGTAGATAAACAGATAAATAAAATGCAACAATCACTATGATGAAAATAAAACACAATGATGTGACATGGAGGAACTGGAAGACTACTTTAGATTGGGTGATAGGAAAGGACTCTGACAAAGTGGCATTGAAGCTGAAACCTGAAATGCAGTGAGCAAAGGGCATTCCAGCAACGAGACCACTTTGGGGTGGCTGAGAGCCAGGAGCAGGGAGGAGCAGGACCCCAGGAGGAGGGAGGGACGGGCTAGATCCTGCAGGGCCAGTAAATCAAGGTGATAGTTAAGTTCGTGTGCCTGAGTGGACACAGTGCTTGATTTTTTTGAACAGAAAGGTCATAGACCTGTCAAAACATGCCTTTCTTCTGACAGCTTTGCTAAGTTGGAAAGTGCCCCCTAATTTATCAAATCTGCCCTAATGGAGAGGACCCTCCTCTATTTGGTAGCATTATGCAGTTTCCGGAGGTCTTTTAAAATTGGCTGTGCCTAACACTGAGACTATTTGTCCCTTTAAGCAGCCCCTCTTGGATAAATGACTTCAGTCTCAGTTTCCCCATCTACAAAAAGAGAATAATACAGCCATGGGAAGATTGTTTTTGAAGATTAAAGGAATATGGATAGGCCAGGCGCAGTGGCTTATGTCTGTAATCCCAGCACTTTAGGAGGCCGAGGCCGGTGGATCACCTGAGCTCAGGAGTTTGAGACCAGCCTGGCCAACATGGCGAAACCTGTCTCTACTAAATCTACAAAAAATAGCTGGGCATGGTGGCGTGCACCTGTAATCCCAGCCACTTGGGGAGGCTGAGTCATGAGAATTTCTTGAACCCTGACGGTGGGGGGCGGAGGTTGCAGTGAGCCGATATCGCACCAGTGGACTCTAGCCTGTGCGAGAGAACAAGACTCTGCCTCAAAAAATAAAATAAAATAAAATAAAATAAAATAAAGTAAAGTAAAATAAAATAAAGCAAAGAATATGTCTAAAAATGCCTTGTCTGGGGTTGGTACACATACAGTGAGCACGGAATAAACGAGAGTGTCTGTCCCTTTGCTGTCCTTTTAAGTTTCCCGGGTTGCCGAGGGCAGCGTTGCAGATTGCAGTAGTGCAGTAGTCCCCTGGCTGCCTGTGCCGCCTCCCTTTGCGCGTCTCTGACGAGCCCACTGTAAGGGACTTTCCTCTGTGCTCTGATGGCTTCTCACCTCTGCAGGTGCACAAGGCAGCCCTGAAGTAGCGGTGAGTTGACACTAGGGTGAGCTTCGCCCAGTAGAGCGGGGATTCACAGAAGAGTGCCCCGTGGCTTTCCCGAGGTGCCCATCAGAGGTCCTCGGAAGGCACCCGGAGGAAAGGAGCGCCATGTGGAAGACCCTCAGCCACATGCTCCTCCTGGCTTTCCCTTTTTTCCTTGTCTCATTCTCTCCACTTCCTCATTTGGGCTTTTTGGTCTCACTTACCCCCAAAAAATTACCTGCAGGTAAGCCCTTGCATAAGGCTTTGCTTTAGGGCAGAATCTAAACTAAAACACACACCAAGCCCTTGAGCCACAAGTGCCTCCTTCCTCTCTCCCTCCTGCTTCTATATGCAGTCAACCACCTCATTTGGTTAATCTCTCACCATCTCTCTCAAACATCAGTCCCTTTAGTTGGCAATCATTCCAGACTAAACCAATATGGTTTTAGTCCCCAGGATGTATTCTCATCCACAATCGTCCTCTACAAGAACTCTAACAAGAACCGTTACATTTCGTCCACTCTCTCTAAGGTGAAACTTGCAGAGCGCCTCAGCCTGGCTTCTCCAGGGTCTGGCATGCCAGTGATTACTGGACGTTTTTCCTGCTACTTTCTTCCACTAAATCTCTCCAAGCTCGGAAAGGTTGGCATTCTGAGCATGCCCTGCATTTCCTGTAGAATTCCATCTCTTCCCCTCTTCCCTTCCTATCCGCCACCTTTTTCTTAATACTGCTCGCGGGAAAGAAATTCACAAAAGAGAGCCAATACTCGGCAGAGCATTGAGAATGCGGGTACCTGATCTCAGCCTCAGAAGTTACCAGTGGAAAAAAGCAGCCGAGAGAGATCCGGAAGCCTGAGCTCAAGATCGTGCTAGCTACCTCCCAGAAGACAAGCGACGTCTTTCACTTCTGGGGCAGTACCAGTTTGACAGGATAAACAAAAACAGACAAAAAACCTCAGATGAGTAATATGTCCCGGAAAGCTGACCCAGCATTCCGCAACGAAATGTGCCCTCGTGCACGCACACACCATGCACATCTTTGTCAAATTCGTAATTTACAAGTTCAAATAGGAGGGAGAAACGTGTTTTGAGACAAACTGCAAATAGCACCAGACTAACAAAACGAAATGAAACCAAAGACCTAGACCTAAGAAGGGAGGGACACCCCCTGACGCCGGGTATGGTCTGGGGCCTCCAGCACTTTGCGGCGACCCCCAGTGCCCTAGGTGCTCAGCTACCGCCCCCACCCCAGGACCCGCTGGGATTGGAAAACTCACCCCTGAGCAGTGCGGATACCTAGGGACTGACGGACAGGCTCTGCAGTGGCGCGCGGGGGACGGGTCGGAGGCGAGGCGGGGCGGGGCGGTCCCGGAGGCGGGGCGGTCTCGGAGGTAGGGGCCGTCCTGGAGGCGGGGCCGTCTCGGAGGCGGGACTGTCCTGGGGACTGAGCTGTCTCGGAGGTGGAGTCCTGCGGTCCCGGAGGCGGGTTGTACCGTAGGCGGGGCTCTCTCGTAGGCTGGCCGGTCCTGGAGGAGAGGCTGTTCTGGCGGCGGGGCTGTCTTGGAGGCTAGGAGGTCTCGGAAACTGGGCTGTCCCGGAGGCGGGGCACAGGCTGGGGTGAGGCGGAGCCGACCCTGAGGCGGGCCCGGGGCGCGGCTACCGCTCCCTGAGCCACGCCCGTGGTCTCCCGTTCCATCGGTGGACCCCACCTCGGGCCGTGCTGCGGGCTCTCGGGGCGCCTACCAGGTGAGCGACCCCGCCTTCCCGGAGGGATGCTTTGGCCTGCATGGGGCCCCAAACCGGCTCCCTCAGGGTCTCTGCGGGTTCTTGGATGCGAGAGGGGACCCAGCCAGTTTGCTGTCGCACTTGATAAGAAAAGCAAACCCTAAGTCTCCAATAAACCATATTTGGGGCGAATAGTTCCCTAACAACAACGTATGCCACGGGGGAGGCCCCGCGTGGAATCAGGCTCCCTTCCCTCCGATCTTGGGGTGGGCTCAGCAGAGCCGGTAGCCGCCGCGTCGCCTCCGTCGCTCGAGCCTCTGCGTGGAGGGCTGCCCCCTAGTGGTCAGCTGCGGGCCATGCACTTCGAGCCCGGTGGATGCTTATGGCCATGGTGCGGGGTGCTCAACTAGGGCATTTTTCTCTCAAAGTATCCACAGAAATGCTGCCCAGCAAGTTATATTCTTGCTGGGAGGGAAACGTGCCTGTGGCATCACTAACACAGATTCGTCCGTGCATGGCTGGAGAAATTAAGCTAAAGCTATAGAGTGGCTGGTGCTCGAATTTCTACGCAAGAGAGGTCAGAAGGTGAAAATCAAGGTGGAAGGGTGTGGTCAGGAGGAGGATTTGGTGTAGTCTGGAGTTTAGGAACGTCTTACCTAGGAAAGTGATGACTGTGCTAGAATGAGGGGAAAAAAGTAGTCTGTCTGCATTTTGCCCACCATTGAGTCCTCATTGCCTATTTTCATTTCTGACATAGAATAGGCTTTAGTTTCTTAATAAATAACTAAATATATGCTAAATAAATAAGGATATAGTGAACGTCCAAAAATATCTGTCGAATTAGTGAGTTAATAACTGACTCTTCGGAGGACTAGTGGAAATCTGATTGGCAGAGGACCAAATACATTCAGGTTTCAGAAATAAAGAGCAAGGAGAAACTTACACAGAAAAGAAATTGTGGATAAGACTTGCCAGAATTTGGAATAATTCCGGCTAGAAATCCAACGTGCGGTGAAGTACGTTGAGTTCTTAGGCTTCATATCAGGGAACAACTGACCTTTGGGAGCTGAAGTGGGAGATGGACATCAAAGAAAGTGGGTCAGTAAAGTTCCACGTTAAAAGCTGATTCAGGCCCGGGTGCGGGGGCTCACTCCTGTAATCCCAGCACTTTGGGAGGCCGAGGTGGGTGGATCACCTGAGGTCAGGAGTTCAAGACCAGCCTGGCCAACATGGAGAAACCCCGTCTCTCCTAAAAATACAAAAATTAGCCGGGCGTGGTGGCACAGGCCTGTAATCCCAGCTACTCGGGAGGCTGAGGCAGGAGAATTGCTTGAACCCGGGAGGCGGATGTTGCAGTGAGCAGAGATCATGCCACTGCCCTCCAGCCTGGGCGACAGAGCGAGACTCCGTCTCAACAACAACAACAAAAAGCTGGCTCGGTATCTTTTGTGTGTTTGTACTCTTAGGTTTTAACCAGTCTCCACCTACATCAACCTCACTCCTCATGGTAAAGTACTACTATTGTTCTAAATTAACTCCTGAGAGTATTTTGGTGTTGCTCTAATAGAAGAAAGGGGCTTTAAACAAAGGTGATTTTTCCAGGGTCAGAGAGCAGAAAGTACCTGCCATTTGGGAGCAGGAGCTGCCTGAGGAATGGAACCTAACAACATAGGAACGGCATAACGGTTCCTAAAAAAAAAAAAAAAAAAAAAAAAGAAGAAAAAAAAGATTAAAGATGGTAACCAGCATTTACGTTCTGACTAAAGGGTGTCCGAGAGAGAATACAGTCATGGGTTCTTAGTTTCTGTTTTTGGTTAGGCGAGTAAAACCCCTTCCTCATCCCTCTTTTCCCCTTTCACTAGAGACAGAAACTAAAAACCGTGAGTTCAGGCAGCTAGAAACCTAAAATAAAAGAAAACGGAACAACAACAACAACAACGAAAATAAGGTGGGTTGGATAAGCTTCGAAATGGTTACTGCTTATGCAAAGGTGCAGGCCCCAGATCTTTCCTTTTACTTGGGAGAAAACAGACGCCATTCAGTGAAAGTCAACATATCCTTACTGGACACTTATTCTGTGAGGCACTCTGGGAGATAGAAATGCTATTATGGTCAGTAAATCTAGAGAGGAAAAAAGACAAGAAAACAACTATACCAAAATTGGCTACGAATCAGGTGCAAGGGCACATAAAAGAAGCAGCAATTATTTCTGATCAAAGGATTAGAGAAGAATGTGCACAGAAGGTGACACAGAAACTCAGCTTAGAAAAATGTATATTTGCGGGGAGATAAAGGGGAAGGTATTACAATGTGAGGCTGTATAAGATTCCAAAGCACAGAGATATGAATGTGAAAGGCTTAATTTGAGAAAGACAAAATGTTCATAGTGACTGAAACTTGTTAGCAGAACTTGCATAGTGCTAGCTCTAAAGAGAAGTTTGGGCTCGGTTTAGAGGGACTTTGGCTGCCATACTAGGGAGTTTGGATTCCATTCTACAGTGTGGAGGAAGATTTTTTAAAAGCACCATTTAGTAAACACTGTGGTTGCCTCCTCAACATCTATTCCCTACACTACCCCTATTGTCCTTTCTAACCAAATCCATTTTTTTTTTAAATCAGATAATCCACCTCTCCTTTATGAGATTCAGGGGACAATGAATTCATCTCCATTTCCAAGGATAGATCTGTATTAGCTTAAATCAGGCAGGCTAACTCATACTTCTTGTGCTTCCATGACAGACTCTTTCTGGGTTATACGTAATAAATATACATAAACAATATTATACTTCATTGTCCAGCATATACAAGAGGCAAACACAAATCAGAAATATTATCTTTACCAGTGGTACATGAGTCCATTTTTTGTCAAATAGAGAGCAATTGCTGCAGTAATTGCAGTTTATCACTAAGCCAGATGCAGGGGTTACTCATACATATGCCTTCTAATTGTGGGCTACTATTAATAGTCACTGGCCTCCTTCTTAAATTATTTTCAGTCATGAGCTTAACTTAATGTGGTACCATATATTCTTTCTTTTAAGGACCTTAAGAATCTGGGAAGAATTAGCCACACTCTAATTTAGGAACAGAGATGGATGAATCCACCTATGGACATTTACTGGTATGAGTCACTGGGGAAGTTCACTAAGTCACTATTTAAGATGATCCAGAACAGGTGTCTACAGCTGCCTTAAGAATGAGTACTATGGTGGTGATGAAAATGTTCCTCTCAGATGTCCAACTGCAGGGGGTGGGTATGAAATTGCCAGATGGCCCCAGCTGGTGTGCTCTGGAATCCTTGGCGCCAAGGCCATGCTGCCAGGGGCTTCTCCAGGCTGGTGATCAAATGTAGTGAGGATCCTCAGGCAGGCCCATTCCTGGAAGACATGGGACTCTCCCGATAGGTGAGTTTGGCTCAAGGACTCCTCATGGTCCTGAAAGAAACTCTCTGAGACCTGTACTTCAGTGGAAGCCTGTCTTTCCTTTGCTGTCTCCTTCCCAAGGGTTAAACCTACATTGCAGTCTAATGGTGGCTCTCCCGGCCTTCTCTGGCTCCCTCGACATTTTCTCTCACAGGCATTTCCTTTAATAAATCTCTCGCATATCTGATCCTGTCTTGGCTTTTGCTTCTTGGAGGACCCAGAATAACACAAGTACTGTCATAATTATATCTCCTCACTTTAAATCTCTCAAGTGTAATTACTAAAATTGTGTTGTAGTGGAAGTAAAAAGCAAGGTTACTAACTTGAGAGTATCTATGAAACACTCACCCATTAAGTTTCATTCTTTAGTACATTTATAATAACTTTTATTCCAATTGTAGCATGGCCTATCTCCAAGGGCAAGTTCCTGCCTGCGTCTTCATTGAAAACAGTGGAACTTTGAAGCAATGGGGGAGTTTGTTGCTTCTCTTGACAAGCGGCCAGCCCTAATTCAGAGTTATAAAAGTTTTCATATTCTGCTTTTGGCATATCTGTAAAATATACTTGGGCATACATTTTTTTTTTCTGTTTGGATCATAAGTGTGTGAAACATACGTGGTAAGAGCCAGTTATATTCCAATCACAGAGGATGTCTTGGAACACATCACTGCCACTCCAGAGGTACTGAAACTTTCTTCCTCTAGTAAGGAACATGGCTGGGGTGGGGGTGAGAAGAGATATTCTTACATTTATAAACTGTTTCTCCCACCACCAGACCAGACATAAAGTTTGATTTTGTCCTGAAGATTTCAGTTGTCTTGGAGCCAGTGGAACTGAGTTAGCCCAAGAATGAGAGTGGATGTCCTTTTTCTCTTTCTGCCTTTGAAATATCAGGTTCATTGGACAGGTGCTCAGTAGATCCAATTTTCTTTAATTGCACCTACATCAGTGTAATATAAATGTCTTCATTCACAATCCCACAAGGGTTGTAGATATCAATATGCCGGGGGATAGTGTATGGGAATTGAGGGTCATAGTAGGTCAATACTATATAAGAAAATTCCTACAGAGAGTGAGTCTAAATCCCTACTCCTATGGGACCAGCGACTATTATTGTCTATTTATTTACTTATTTGAAAATGTAAACAATTATTTCCCAGTGGACTAATTACAAAGTTCCTGTGACATCAAGATCATTCCTTCTCAAGGCTTTTCACTATATATTGAGACGTGTAGTCTTAATTTCATTTTGGTTTGCCCCAAGACTTCCACCAAGTCTAGGGGATCTGTACGGAACTATCCTTTCCCAAGGTACATCATGCATACTTTCTGCTATTATTTTTTTTTCAGTCTGTCCCTTGTGGTCAATCAAGAGAAATGCAGACTTCAATCTCTATAAGAAGAGCAAAGGTTCTCCCTTTTTAAACCTTTGAACTGAGAAAAAAAAAAAAAAAGCAGCAGCTCCTGCCATCCAGAAACTTGTCTGGCGCTAACAGCGAGGCCATATTGTTCTCCCATTGTACAAAAACAATTTCAGAAAACATCAACATCAGATAAGGTCACTCAGAGACCGTCATAAAGTAAGGCACATACACGATCACCATGCAACCCACAAAATACTGATCATCCTTCTGTTATCTAAAATGAGTAATTGCACGTTTTAGAAACCAATCGCAGCTTTATTCTCATTTTATTTATGTTTGTTTTTGAGACAGAGTTTCACTCTTGTTGCCCAGGCTGGAGTGCAATGGTGCAATCTCAGCTCACCACAACCTCAGCCTCCTGGGTTCAAGCGATTCTCCTGCCTCAGCCTCCTGAGTAGCTGGGACTACAGGCATGCGCCACCATGCCCGGCTCATTTTGTATTTTTAGTAGAGACGGGGTTTCTCCATGTTGGTCAGGCTGGTCTCAAACTCCTGACCTCAGGTGATCTGCCCACCTTGGCCTCCCAAAGTGCTGGCATTACAGGCGTGAGCCACCGCGCCCAGCCTTTATGCTTATTTTAGTCAGCTCTCCTTGTATATGTATTGAGATCGTAGTTGTAGAATTGTTTCTGGTTCTTGACAGTATGTCATCCAAAACAAAGTCTCCCTTCTTCAGACACTTCCCAAAACTATCCAACCAAAGCCCACAGCCTATAATAGGTTCTTTCTGACACCTTTTTACTGATATACCCACAGTTCTCTATGGTGTGCATTTTCCCTAGCTGCAATGAACAACAGATTCAACTTGTTTAATTATAGATGTGTTTCCATTGGTCTTTGGCTGTAGGGCATTAATAATATTATGTACTATTAGTGCGTTAATAACATTAATAATGCCCTATAGCCAAAAGTACTTTTACCAGTGCTAGAGATCCACCAGGCTTTCTGCTAAAGGTCACTCTAACATTACGGACACAAGTCAGTTGTTTGTCTTTTAATGCTTTTGCCAGCTGAAATAGTTTATCTCAGAGTTTTCTATGAGGATCTGAGATTTAACTCTGCTCTAGGTGTTGAGAGCAACAAGCTCATAGTGCCAGTTGTCTTGTGGTTAAATGTCAAAAGCCTTAATTAAGGCTTATTATTTTCTCCTTTGGAATAGGTCGGCTCCAAGGCTACACAAGCAGCAAGAAGAAAAGGAAAAACTCTGTTTTATTAAAGCTCCACTTGCCTATCTACCTTGGTGGAGGGTCAAGAAAAGGTTTATAACCTATTTGCAGGTTTTAGGCTCCTGTTTGCAGCACAGAAACCACAGACAATAGGTAAGCCTGCTGGGCCCTGGCCTACGGGGTCTGTTCAGGAAGAAGAGGGGTCTTCTCTCTAAACCTGTGAGATCTCTTCTAGACTCTTTTATAGATTGTTTTTATATTGTATGTTTGATCATTTTGTCCTCCCCTAACCCCCTTTGGGCACTATCTCAGACTTTAAATATTCTAAATAATTTTGGCAGTATGTGAAAAATGAATTTTATGTCACTAAGCGATTCATGGAAATATTTTTTTAGTACCTACATGTACAGATTTCTTAACCAATTATGTATATTTGAGTTCCTAAGAATAGAAGTAACTTTTTAATGACCTTCAGGTACACATATTTGTATTAAAATAAACCTTGGTTCCTAACTGTAATCATTGGTCACTACATTTTTTTTTAAAGTTGCAGTTGCTTCCCAACCTCTATTTATCTTTATTTACTCATCCCTTTATTCTATTTATTTCTAATATAATGAGCACCTATGAAACGCACCCAGTCTCAGACTAGAACATCAATAACTTAAGCTACTCAAGCTTTCCTATCAAAGAAATGCTTCTTTATAGCACTGAAATGCACAAGAATCCAAATGCATAGGAAGCATTTCTTAGTTGTCTTGATTGTGAGGTAAGTTGTTTTTTTTGTGTAGTTAGAAGAAAGATCTCTGAGAAGTTGAAGATCACCTTCTGCCCCCTCCCTATTGAAGACTGACTGCAATGATGTGGGTCAAAGAAAGAAATCATTTTAAGAGTAGAAGCCAAGCAGGAGTACAAAGGCTTTGTAAGGAGTAGAGAACAGAGGAGGGAAATAGTCTTGAAAGAAGGGATAGAGTCTGCTACTTTTGTTGGCAAAAAAGAGTCAACATCTAAGGCCTAGTTACCTGTTGGCCTGTTAGGTACATATATTAGGTGAGGTTTTGACCTTGGGTGAGGACATTGCTTTAAGCACTAAATAGATCAGATTAATCCCGTGAAGAGGAGATAGGAAGTGTTTCTGATAAATACTGCTTTGAAGATTGGCTGCAAGGCCAATACTCATCAGAGAGCTCCAGTTGACTATGGGAGTTAGACAACAGAGGAAAGTAAACTCATGACATATTTCAATTTCTCTTTACAGAAATTCAGACTCAGTGGTGTGGCAGAAGATAAAATAATTTGGGTTATTTCTGTGATAACATGGGCAATCTGGAAACTACTCCCATTTGTGAGGGTAAATCTCTATTATGATACATGGAAAATAGGACAGATGCTAATTCAGGTAAGAAAAGGTCTTTGTATTATACAAATATTTACCTTCAGACAGAAATGTTAATGAAGATGGAGAAGGAACAGTTACCAAGAAACTAGGGATAGTAGGACACAAAAAACCTGGTAACCTGGTAGTGAGTATGAACCAGTCTGGTGCCTTGCCTCCAGAGGAGCAGCAACTGAGCAGAGCTACTGGACAACCAGCCCTGCACTTCCCTAGAGCACAGACCAGCTCACTATGCAGCCACCAAGAGATAAGCACCGAAGGAGAACCTACCAGCCATGGATCCTCAGAAAACAGACCAGCTAAGTGCCCAGCCTTCAGGGGACAAGCAGCTGAGTGGGCATACCAGCCACACAAACTTCTGCAGCCAAGGCCACTGAGGTACTTGCAGGCACCACTGACATTAACTACAGCTAAAGAAGCTGCATGGAGACTACACTACTGCATCCACCCAGAACAAAAACAAATGTACCTTACCCAACCAACATGCTAGGACACATCTGCAGGTGTAAGTCTTTTCTGCTGAAAGTTATGCTACAAAGTTAGAAAAGGTGATTATTCCATCAGATGCACAGATGCCAGTGCAGGGATACAAGAAACATAAAAAAGCAAGGGAACATGACACCACCAAAGAAACACAATAATTCTCTAGTAACTGACCCCAATAAAAAAATAAAAATTTATGAATTGCCAGAAAAGGAATTCAAGATAGTGAGCCTAAGGAAACTTGGTGAGACATGAAAGAACACAAACGGATCATTCAACAATCGGGAAAAACAGTTCATGATCTGAATGAGAAATTCAACAAAGAGAGAGATATCATAAAAAAGAACAAAATAGAAATCTTGGGGCCAAGAAATTCAATGAATGAAATAAAAAACGCAATTGAGAGCTTCAACAGCAAAATAGATCAAACAGAAGAATTTTTGAACTTGAAAACAGGCCTTTTGAAATAGTCCAGTCAGAGGTAAAGAAAAAAAAAAAGGAATGAAGAAGCCTATGGCATTTATGGGACACCATAAGTGAACAAATGTTTGCATTTTGGCAACTTAAGAAGAAGAGATGAAGAAAGGCAAAGAAAGCTTATTTAACACAGTAATAGTTGAAAACTTCCCAAGTCTTGGAGAGATATGGACATCCAGATCCATGAAGTTCAAAGGATCCCACAAAGATTCAACTCAAAGAGGTCCTCTCTGAGGCATATAACCAAACTGTCAAAAGTCAAAGACAAAGAAAAAAATACTAAAAGCAGCATGAGAAAAGCATCAAGTCACATATAAGGGAATTGCCATTGGACTATTAGCAGATTTCCCAGCAGCAACCTTGCAGGCCAGGAGAGAATGGGATGATATATTTAAAATACTAGAAGAAAAAAAGCTGCTAGCCTAGAATACTATACCAGCAAATCTTTGCTTCAGAAATGAAGGAGAAATAGTCTTTCCCAGATCAGCAAAAGTTGAGGGAACTCATTACCACTGGACCAGACTTACAAGAAATGCTTGAGTATTTCTATTGGAAAAAAAAGTTTTTATGATAATTGCTACCATAAAAAAACATGAAGTATAAATCTCACTGCTGGAGATAAATGCATTATCAAATTCATAATGCTTCATTACTGCAATGGTGATATGTAATGTTTCAAACCTCTAGTATGAAGGTTAAAAGCCAAAACAGCTGGGTGCTGTGGCATGTGCTTGTAGTCCCAGTTATTTAGGAGGCTGAAATGGAAGGCTCATTTGAGCCCAGGGGTTTGAGTCCAACCTGGGCAACATAATGAGACCCCATTTAAAAAATAATAATAATTAAAAAAATGCAGCTCTGTGGGATGCCAAAAAGTGAAAATTGGAATAATGATTATAGCAATGATAAGTTGTTAAGGAATAAACAATATATAAAGATGTATATTAAAGCAACAAAATTATAAATTTGGGTGCAGAATGAAAGTCTAGAGTATTGGTATGCAATGAAAGTTAACTTGTTATCAGCTTAAAATAGTCTATTATAAGTATGAGAGATTTTTAATGTAACCCCAATACTAACCACAAAGAAAAAATTACAACAGATATACAAATGAGAAAGAGAAAGGAATCAAAGCTTAACACAACAAATACCCTAATCAAGCCACAGACATAAACATGAGAGAGGAAGAAAGGAACAAAGGATAAACAAAACAACCAGAAAATAATGAACAAAATGCAGGAAAGCTTAGGGCCCTGGATGGTCCTTCTTGAAATGTTTCCCAGAACAGGGGCAAACATCAAAGGCCTTCTTGGAAAAGAATGAAGTTGGCAAACTTCATTCAATGCTGTATTGGACATTCCTTCATTCAACAAATATTAAAACCCACTAGATGGTAAGCTTACTCAGCAGACATGGTGAGATCAGCAGTAGGCTTTGTTTTTTGTGGAACACCTATACAAACAAAAGAATGTGAAGTGTGTTTTAATAACTGGAAGATACTTAATCTGGCTGGAAATAGAGACTTGTGGGGAGATATCATGAGCCTGGACACATCAAGTGGACCTAGATACTTGAGGACCTTGAAAACCATTTTAAAGGCTTTAGCTGGGTTGCATCTTAATCAATGGGAAGTCACTGGAAGATTTTTATTTGGGTTTATTAAAAATTTTTTCAAAGTAATACATGCACAAGGTAAAAAATTAAATAGTACAGAAGGACTTAAAATGAAAAACACAGTTTCCCATCCCACCCTTTTTAAATCTAAATCCCATTCCCTAGAGGTAATGCTTTTAACAATATTTATTTTAGATCGTCTGGTAACTAACTTTCTAACTTTAAATAATATGTTTGAGCAATAATTTCTTGACTTACTGACTTTACAACATCTTTAATAATTCCCCATTACAAAAGATAAGGATTTAACTTACACTATCGCCACTTTCCTTTGTCCATCTCTCTCCAAATGTCTGATAGTTACATCACTTTTTAATACATCTATTGGTTTGATTTTATAGCTTTGAACAATACACTAATCCTCTAGTTCTTGTTCCATTAACTGAAGATCTTTTCATCCCCACTTTGAATATATAAGTATCTCTACCTTTGATTCCACTTCTCTTCCTCTAATTCTCAATCTCTTTCTGCTTTCTTTCCCTTTGTCAGCATTAATTACTTTCAACTTCAGTTCTGAATAAAAAATGAAACCTTTCACACTTTGTTAATAGGCTGATCTGAACACTGAATACTAATAAATGATATCCACATTATTTTGGCTATTTAAATACTTCTTACTGGGAGCCTAGTATAAGCTAGGATATTTTCTTCCCTACACACCCAATATCATCATGCCTGTGCCATAGAAAAGGAAATGTACCTATGAAGCCTCTTCTTATTCTTCATGAATAACTCAAAATCATGCCTCATTTTATTTTGCTCTATAATTGGACCTGAATTTTTTGACATATTGTTGATTTGTCTTTCTTTTTTCTTGACTAAATAATCTTCTCAAGCATCCCAGCTCTTCAATGATACTATCTATGGCACTGAATGCACATTCTTCCCAGAAAGCCCGAGACAGTATGCTCTCATCTGAAATTAGTCTGCTGGATAGCTGTCACTCTAGGGTGAGATACCCTTTTGGCTGTCACTCTAGAATGAGACATCCTAAGTAAGGTCCACTGTTTTATGGATCCCATTTCTTCTTCTTTCCTGGTTTTCATCCTCATTTTGCTGGAGAATTTCCTCAAGATACTTCCTCAGTAAGGGTGCAAAGGAGGGAGACTTTCTGAAAATTTGCCTGACAGAAAATGTCTTCACTTTGATGTTCTTCTTGACAGTCTGCCTTACTATGAAATTCTAGGTACAAAAATTTTCCATAAGCTCTGAAGATGTTGATCCATTGACTTCTGGCATTCAGTGTTGCTGATGACAAATCTGTTAGCAGTCTATTTCTCATCCATTTTTGTGTTGAGCTAATCGTGATGACCTCATTTGTTTTCTCCCTGGCCACTTTAATATCTTCCTTCTATCCTTAATATTCCAAAATTTTACAATATTGTGTCTAGATGTAGATTGTATTGGGCCCTCTCAATCTGGAGACTTAGCTTGCTCTGTTCTTCAATTCTTTTTCTTTTTATTTCTTCACCTACACTGTCTCTGTTCTCTCTTCCAGGAACTCCTAACATTACATATTGATTGTCTATGTCTTTTTTCTTTCTTTATATTTTTCTATCTATTTCTTTTTGCTCTTTATCTGGAGAGATTCCCTCAACTTTATTTTCCAGACTGTATACCAAATACTTTTAGCAGTCTTATTTTATTTTCAAAGAGATCTTCTTATTCTCAGTCTTCTCTTTCTTTTCTTGCTTTTTAAGAGACAGGGTCTCACTCTGTCCCCCAGGCTGGAGTGCAGTGGCACCATCATGGCCCACTGAAGCCTTGAACTCCTGGGCTCAAGTGATCTTCCCACTTCAGCCTCCCAAGTAGCTAGGACCACAGGCACATGCCACCATGCTTGGCTAATTTTTAAAAATTATTTTGTAGAGACGGGATGTTGCCATCTTGCCTAGGCTGGTCTCGAACTCCTGAGTTTTCCGTTTCTTTGTAGTATCCTGTTTTTCATCTTAAATACACCTCAAATCTCTCTGGAGATGGAATTAAAATTAAGTTATTCTTTCCACATTGTCTTTGTTTCCCTCAGAGTTTGTCATATTTTCAAGGCCCCTAATTCTACCTCGTGACTTTTCTTATTCCTCTTCCCTCCCCATCGCCCATGTCTGGGAATTTCTAACTCACCATTCCCATTTAAGAATCAACATAACTGTTAACTTGTATAACAGTTGGCATGGGTTTCCTCTGCTGTTGTACAGTTAGGTCTGTTTCTTCAGGAAACCTCTTCTATACCTGAAGGCAACAGGCACTTGAGTAGGAGGTCTCAGCTGTCAGTAGAGAATTAGCTGACCGGCTGGGGGTAGGGGCACTTATTTCCACTAGAAGAGAAATTTTTTTCTGGAGCACCAACTCTTATCTCTCTGCAAGCAGCCTGTTCAATTCCTTTATACAAACAACAACAGCAACAATAACAAGAAATTTTTAACTGGTATCAATAGTGGAGACTGCCTGTGTTCTGTGCATAAGAGTTGGGGGAGAGTAGGAGAGGGCTCAATCTTACAACTGGAGTAATTCTTCAGTAGACAAGCTTTTCAGGTGCGCAAGTCTCTTTGGGGTTATGTTGTTCAGATCAGCTTACATTTTATCTGAAAGGTTCTTCACTCTTTCATTATCATGCTTCATCCACTTTCTATCTTCCAGAAATATGCTGAGATCCTCTCCACTTATAACCAAATCCCTTCAGTTTTCTTTGCTGAGATGTGTCAGTTCCTTTTTGCATTTCTTGACTTCAATTTCAGTGGGGCCTGGGGAGGGAGGGAAGGTAAACTTATGTTTACTCCATTATCTCAAATTAGAAATTCCAGTGGAGGCTTTTAGACACGGAAGTAACATGGATAACTTTATATTTTAAATATATCCCCGGGATGTACTGCTAAAAATATATTAAAGAGGGCAAGGATGGATACACATATTCTCAAAGATGGAGGATCTAATTTCCTCTCTGAGAACATGCAGTGTTTGGGATCTCTGGGAGTCAGGCACTTCACTGAAATAGTCCATCATTCAAAATCCAACAAACTAGAGAACACTTTCATGGTACCCTAGAAAGAATAACTGAAATTTGAGTAATGCAGAACCTAAAAGATCTGGCTGATGCTAAAGGGCTCACTCCAGCACTATCTATTGGGAAGCACTTCAGGAGCCTACCTTAAATTCTTTGAATTGTCATTTGGGATAAACAAAATGATTTTTTGTTCTGATAAAAGTAGATGATAGGTAAGTATATGCAGCCAAAGCTCTGGCAAGTAGGAACATAATGATCCTTTGGTTTGCTGGTCGGCTTCTTTATTTACCCATTGATGGGGTCATTCAAAGCACTGTAGTTATGAATGCCCATTCTGTAATCAGAATGCCTGAATTCAAATCCCAGATCAACCACTTATTAGCAATATAGCCTTAGATAATTTACCTTATCTTCCTTAACTTCAGTTCTCTCGTTCATAAAATAAAATGGGAGTGATAATGGTTGCCATGTCATGAGATTATTGTGAAGATTAAATGAAACAATCTATAGAAAGGAATCACTACAATAACTGGTACACACCCAATAATTGATAACAATTATTTTAAATGTTGAACAAATATCCAATGTCTCATGTTTAAAGCACCTAGGCAATGGATATTTGTGCAATCAGGAGAAATAATCCTAGGACCGACAAATAACATGACAAAGAAATCTACTGGGAGGCCGAGGTGGGTGGATCACCTAGGCCAGGAGTTCGAGACCAGCCTGGCCAACATGGCAAAACCCCATCTCTACTAAAAATACAAAAAATTAGCTGGGTGTGGTGGTGGGCACCTGTAAGCCCAGCTACTTGTGATGCTGAGGCAGGAGAATCGCTTGAACCTGGGAGGTAGAGGGTGCAATGAGCCGAGACGGTGCCATTGCACTCCAGCCTGGGTGACAAGACTGATACGCTATCTCAAACAAACAAACAAAAATCCAAAGAAAAAACTCTATAGGTCAAATCTTACAGTCTACATATCTACCCAATTACCAATTAAGCAAATAAAATGATATATTAAAATAACTAAAATAAAAAGTGAGCTAAAGAAAAACTGGCTGGATGTATATGACATCAACCAAAAGGACCCAACTTTAGTTAAAACTGTAAAGAAATAGGGGATTCTGAATAAAATTAAAAAGAAATAAGTTTGGGTCAACTCTATCCAATCATCTTGTTTCAGAGTAAAGTCCTCTATGTGTGTGGACTTCGTCTGCCAAACTGTTGAGTAACTCTTGACAGGCACTATGTCTTGAATCTGTGTTACAGAAATAAAAACACTGTCATGAAACCAGATACCCTCTGTTTGCTAAGGACAAATGTCATTATGGAATTGATCTGGTTTCTTCAAGACATCTACTCTTGATTTAATCAAAGAAGGAATTGGATCTGTAAAATACAATTGGATAAGGAGATCCAAGGAAGAGCTCCAAATTCACAATGAGGTTCTTATAAATAGCTTTACAAATCTAAGTTAAAAAGAAACAAAATTTTTTAGCTATTTAAAAAAACCCATTGTGAATTTAGAGTTCTTCCTTTAGATTCATAAGGCAACATAGCAGAATCCTTTCAGAAGTTGCTGTATAAAGTGCAAGATGGGCTAGGATTAACTACAACTGCCTCTGTAAATGTCATCTAAAAATAAAGTCTAGCTCATAAAGAGTATTGAGTCAATTAGATAATAATAATGGCAGCAGACATTTTCTCAACACCTACTACCTGCCAGGGACGGTTCTCATTGCTTTTTAAAGGTATTATAAAATGTAATCCTCACAATGATCCTATGAGATAGATCCTATTTTATAGATGAGAAAACTAAATCACAGAGAAGTTAAGGAAATTGCCAGGGTTATACAACTCGTAGGTGAAAGAACCAGGATTTGAACACAGGGAAGCTACTTGTAGAGAGAGTTATCCTAACCTCTAAATTCTGGAGACAGGATGGAAAGTAGTAAGCTCATTATCCTGTGGACCAGCATAAAATAGAAAATCCCCTTAGATGACATGCTCTGCAGACCTCACAAGCCTCTTCAGAATTTATCACTCTGAACCTCCACGACAACCCTGTGAACTGGGAATTTTTATCCCCATTTTACACACAGGAAATGAGAGTACCAAGTTGAAATGACTTTCCCGAGAGCTAACCCTACCTAGTTCTGGGCTCTTCCCACTATACCAGAATGCTTGTCTACTTTGAAAACTACTCAAGTCACAAAATATATGAGTCCATCCAAGAGCTATCTGGGTCTCACGGTAAATTTGTGTTCCAGTTGAGTTTTATGGTCAAGTTTTTGGAACAACTGTTCAAAAACAAAAGCCCAAAGGGAGTCTTCAGGATGCCAACATGAGAACTACCCCCTCTGGGCTATGACCTATGATGGTGAATCCAGGGCTGATATAGAAGCAGGTGCCAAAGCTCTTGGAACTGGGCCAGTGCAGGGTCAGGAGGGAATGTGACAGCTGAAAGCAGACGAACAAGATGCAGAAACAGAAGCCCTTGCACCTGAGAAATTCTGATTCCACTTTTGGCTGTGTTCTGAACCCACTTCCTAGAGACAGAAGTCGGTAATAAGGTATAGGGCAATGAACTAAGAGGACAAGGCCAGACCCTGGGAGGCAGAGGTAGAGGAGTGAATCCCCACCTCTGCCTACCTCCCCAAACCTCTCTACCTGCCACCTCGATGGGCACTCCTTACATCTGTGTGAGGAGGTACAATTTCATAATATTTTCCTTCCATTCAGGCAGATAGGCCAGGCTGGTAGCCACTTCCTTCTGGATGGGCCAGGCCCAGGCCTCAAAGAACGGAGCCAGGTTCTTCTGCACTTGGTGGGAGAACATCTTGACCCACAGATTCATTTTGTCAACATTTTCTGTGGGCAAGTTGGTCTGGTTCCTGTACTCGGTGAAGAGACGGATGAATGGCTCCCAACCAAAGGCTTCCTGGAGCTGGGAAGAGAAAGAAAAATACAGATCAGATTTGGAAATAAAAAAGGGTCCAACAACAACCACTATAATAAGTGAACTTAGTATATGTAACCCCTTACCCATCGGCTTCACGTCTATCACCGACCTGCTCTCCTCCATTTTGCCTCCTGGCCTCATGCCCTGCTCTTCCACATTCTAATCTTAGGAAGGGCCTTGGGACCAGCACAGTGTTCAACACCAAGTGGATACTAAATCAGTGAGGGCCATGGTAACAACTGCAATGATTAATATCAATATTTTCTACCAGTATCATTACCCACGTATCCCACTAGATCACGCAAATAGAGATAGGATATTACACAAGGATTTAAAATTGGCAGAATTGGAAAAATCCTCTTCTCAAGAGTTGAAAAGTGAAACCTCAACAATAGGGAAACTTCCACCTCATCCTGGCACAAAGAAATCCTCATTAATCATAGATCTTTGTCAATGTGCAAGGGTATTAAAATGGCTTTTGGGGAAAAAAAGTGAGTTGGATAGAAGTAGAAGACTGCAGATTGTCTGGGTAACTAGAATTAAGAATAAGTTGTAATTTTTGAAAAAGGCAGCCATCTTGAGGCTGTTGAGTTACAGAGCTTGAATTATGAGGCACTTGAGCAGTTCCCCAGACCAACTTCACATTTATTTCACCAATGAGAAACTTGGTGTTCCTGGGGCAAAGCAGCCATAACAAGGTTAAAGTGGAGCCTCCTTGGTTTTCCCATAATTCTCACGGCAGTGGGAATGAATAAGAGAGCCTCCAGCAGGTGGAAGAACCAGAATAGAGCATGCTTGGCCTGAGACTGAGTTCTGAAATTCAAGGTGATGAAACTCTCCAGTTTCATGCCAGGAACTGATCCAGGCATTGCAGGGAGGGAACTAGGCATTAAACAACTGGTCAAAGGCAAGGCCACCTCCTTGTCCAGGTCAGTGAGGACTCTTGGATTGCCTACATAATGGGGGCTCTGAGGCACGGCCAAGGCATAGTGAGAAGATGGTACATTCATCTAAGGAAAAAAAAAATAAGTCATATCCTATGGATTATGTGTATGGTTGGGGGGAACTGGTTTTAGATAGCTATTAAGTAGGAGAGTTTGGCTTCAGTCTCAGGTATGTCTGGCTTTAAAGCCAGAGAGAGTGAATATATGTATAGTACTTTATTTGTCTCTACCATTTTTAACCTTTCTCAGTGCTTTCTATTTACTATCATATATCTCTATGGGGTGGAAGGTGAGGCTCAGGCAATGAAATCCACCTGAGGGTCATGCAAGGCGATGCACTAAGAGACATCATCAATACGACTGTCACAGTTGGACTTTGTCAGGGCCTCCCATATCCCAGTGTGGGAGACAGGGGCCATGGGTGGTCTTCTGGGCCACTAGAACATTATCCGATAGTTGCCCTGATGGTCCCCGCAGTAGGGGTCCCCCATCACCCGCCATTCTTGCCCAGTACCTGTAAATACGTTTCCAGTGCGGTCCATGCATTCCAGTTTTTCACATTGGGACCCTTGCTCAGGTAGATTCTGACTCTCTTCTCCCGAACTGGGGGCCACAGAGCAATATTGGCACGGCTTCGAGGAATGCCCAAGACCGTCTCATGCACATACACACACCACAGGTTGCAGGTGGCCTCGGTGGTGTGTGGTGGGAACTCCCACTCCTGCCGCTGCTGGTTGCGGCCCAGCTCATGGACGGGGCCCCACAGCCCCTTGGTTCTGATGAGCTTCTCGTTGATGAGCTCCTGCACTGACTCCAGATGGCACATGATGGGGTACCCTGCATGCATCCAGCCTGGAAAATGCAGAAGGAGGGAAGACAGAGTTAGGGTCCTCCCCATTTAAGTCGTAATATTCTTCTATGTTTTGTGTGTGTTCCAAAACACTCAGTAACCCCAGCCAAATTCCAGCACACCATAATACTCAGAAAAGCAACCCAAACCAAGACCCTGCTAGGTGTTCCTTCTCCTCTTTTCATTCTGGAAGAATTCCTTCATCTCTACTCTGACCCAGAATAGTGTGGCTATGGAAGGAGATGCAGCTTATATATAAGGAGCTGTTCATGTTACCATTCAATTTTTCTATTTTGATGAGGATGCCTTATCCATGTGAATCTGTGTCACTATAACCTTTTCTCAAAATTCAGAGCTCTTTAAGGGTAGCTCCTCTCTCATTGTTCAGATATGGAGTTGCCATATCAACACAAGTTTACAGTGAACATCCGTATAAGAAAGAAAATGAGGGTCCAGAGAAATTCCCATGGTTCTTTAATGTCTGTATATTTCCCTCACTTTTCATGTTCCTTGACCATAGGCAAAGATCGCTTTATTCAGTGTGTTCTTAAAGTTGTAAAATTCCCTTTTCCAACCCAACAACTCTGACCTAGGTCACGGCCCTCTGCCATCTTTACCGGCTTGAAGTCCCTGATGAATACCTGTGAAAGCTCAGGTGGCATTTCTTGATGTCCTTGACATGCTGACCTAAACTGTTTTATATACACATATACATATATACATATATATAATGTAATATATATTATATAATATATATTATATAATATATATTATATATTATATATATAATATATAATATATATTATATATATAATATATATTATATATTATATATATGTATATATGTATATGTGTATATAAAACAGTATATATATAAAACAGTATATATATATATGTATATATATGTATGTATATAAAACAGTATGTATATAAAACAGTATATTATATATATAATATATAATATATATTATATATATAATATATAATATATATTATATATATTTCCTTCCCATTTAAATAACAAGGATACATCTATATGTCTTGCTAGCAAAATATGTTTCCCCTACTGGCTGCCCACTGCATGGCTGATGAAAGACAGGAAGGCGCTCAGAGGCAGCATGCACAGAGGGTTTGCTTGGAGCACCCACCCACTGAGATCTGCACGTCGGCAACAATCCTCTGAGGCAGGCGCAAAGGGAAGGGCTCAGCTCCCAGTCGCGCCACAGCCTGCATCACCTCATCCCAGAGGCGGAGCAGCGGCTCAGGGTTCTCCAGAGTACGAAGATTTGCGGTCGGCACGGTCAGAATGATGTTGTCCGTGGCCAGCTCTCCCCAGGGCCCTGGATTCTCCTGGATACGCCTCTTCCACTCCTCCAGGGTGGTCTCCCCTAGGAAGAGAGACCATGGAGCTTGAAATCCTTTCCCAAATCCCTTAAATTACAACATACAACTTAGACTCCAGGAAGAGAACAACAAAATCATGAACTGCCATATCCCTCCTCTTTTTTAAAAAATGTAAAGTTCCGGGATACATGTGCAGGACGTGCAGGTTTGTTCCATAGGTAAACATGTGTGATGGTGGTTTGCTGCACCCATCAACCCATCACCTAGATATTAAGCCCAGCATGCATTAGCTATTTATCCTGATGGTCTCCCTCCATCCACCCCCGCTACCCACCCCACTGACAGGCCCCAATGTGTGTTGTTCCCCTCCCTGTGTCCATGTGTTCTTATTGTTCAGCTCCCACTTACAAGTGAGAACACGTGGTGTTTGGTTTTCTGTTCCTGTGTTAGTTTGCTGAGGCTATATCCCTTTTCTCTATCCTTCTATGAAGTCTCCAAGGATGTGGTTTGGTCTTTATCTGTACAACCCCAAAGCTGAATCTAAGGAAGCTGACCCTTATTCCTCTGTTAGCCCGTGTCTCTCTCCTTCTGCACCAAACAGACTCTAGTCACCTCCTGGACTCCCATGCTCTCTGGAATCCTCATCTCAGTTCTTCCCCTTCCCTCAGGGGCACCCAGAGCTCCCACTCACCCAGCTTGTAGTATGGAGCATGCACAGCCCCCTTCACGGTGACAGGCACAGAACCCAGTTTGCTGTTCTGAGGCACAATTATATAGAGGAGTCCACCCCAGAGGCACGTGATCGATTTTGTGGGTTTGTCCAAGCAGCACCGGTTAATTACGAGTGGGCCTCGGAAAAGCTTGCTGGCCCTGGTCAGGTCATCTGTGTGGCAGCCAATCTGTATCTGGAGCAGAAAGATCCCCCCCTCAAGGAGTCACCATGGGGCACGAGTGGGTGGAAGAAGAGAGCCCAGCAAGGGACTCAGGATGGGTCATTCAGCCATGAACCCAAGCGAGCCCAGCCTTCCCACCACAGATGAACCATGTGTGATACCCCAAGAAACTGTAGCATTCCTTGGGGCATATGGACTGAAGTATATATAAATATTTTCCCAAAGCATTCAAACAGCTCCATAATGGGTCATGTTAGATAGACATTAATGTGAGAAGTGCCAGGTGTAACCTGTAAGGCCAATTCTGAGGAGGGCTGACTCCCACACCCGGTCTCCTGGTGTTGCTAACAAATAGAACACTTGATCGCCTATCTCATGGTGGTGATTCTGGCATTTGGAATGGGGCAGAGGGAACCCTGCCTTTTGCTGATCAGAGAGAGGGCCCAGTGGGAGGTGGTGTGATCTGGCTAAGATAGTGGAGGGTTTCTCCAAGCCCTCTTCCTGGGCAGGTACTTGGTAGAGTCCTAGGATTCTTTTCCCTGGGTTTATGCTAATCAAGTTCCAGGATAGGTACAGGCACAGAATAGATGCTAACCATCACAGTGACCCCCAAGGGGGATAGGGAAGGACAGCAAACTAACTTTGCAAATGGGTTCTATGTGAAAGTGACAGAGGGAAGGTGAACTGGGCAATTGAGGAATGGTCTTGGATGTCATGGGGAAGAAGCTGAAGTCAGAAAGACCTTGTGCTACCATGGGAATGGATACGGAGATGAACAGTGAACTCCGATTTACTGAATGCCTACTCTGTGCTAGGTTACCTTCCATTTGATACCTCTTATTCCCTACTCTAGGATGTAGGTCAAAAGCACAAAACTTAAGAGCCAGAAATTAGTTAGGTTTGAGTCCTGGGCACTTATTTGTATTAGCTCTATACATTTCAATCGATCAATCAATCAATCAGCTTTTCTGCACCTTAGTTACTTCATCCTTAAAACAAGGGTAAAATCACCTGCTCTGTATTACCAACAGGGCTTTGTGAGAATCAAATAAGATACTGACTGTGCTAGGAAGAGCCTTTGGCTTCCATGTTACATGGTGAGGTGGGGCATGGCCTTACCTTCAGGTCGGCAGAGGCAGCAGCTTCAGGCAGTGAGACTTCTATAATTTGCCTTCCAGGTATGTAGAGCCCAGTACTCATCCAGCAATATCTGGTGCCTGCCAAAAGCAGGAGGGGTAGGCAGACTTTATCCCTCCTCCATGATGCCACCTCCACCCAGCATCACCAGAGACCCTTCGTAAGCACGTATCTTCCCCTACATGCTGCCTTGACTCAACTCTTCCAAACAGTACTTAAAATCCCAACCCTTATCTTCTTCAAAGTTCATGGTAAAAAATGGAGACCACCTTCTGGACATGATCGGGTCCCTGAAATGGACTGCTGATGTCAGCCTGTCCCCATTCCCCCATTCCCATAATACTGAGCTTCCAACCCTTGTTCCTTACCTGGATTGGTGCAGTTGACCTCGACGGTGATAGGAGATTCTGAGGGGCGCAGATAGGGGCTGCTGTACATATCTTCAATTTCTGGGACTAACAGAGAGAGGTCGCTTCCAGAGTGGGCCAGCCCTGTGGCCAGGGAAAGCATAGCACCTCTGCAGCAGTCATTGATAACAGGGTTCTCTCGGGTTGCTACTGGAAGCCGATATCGACTTAGCAGCTTCCTCAGGAGTCGATGCACAGACATGTAGGCAGGGATCTCTTCTGCGGGAATCTGCAGGAAAGCTGCACCATCTGGTCCCAGCTTTGCCAACCAGCCCTTTTCCACATTTCCTCTCTTCCTGCCCATTATAACCTGGAACTCGGCCAAGGTGGAGCGGAAGTGATAGGTCCTTATCCCTGCTTTAGGAGTACGAAAGGGCCCTGGATTGAGGCTTTGGCTTGTAATGCTGATGCCAAAGGGGTTGAGGAGGAGGTTTCCTGGGAATCGAGCCAAAGGGGACACTCCGGGGTTCTTGAAGGCCCACCACCAGGCTTGGGCTCCAACAAATAGCCCGCCACCCTCTGCTACAAACTCCTGCAGTTCCTTGACCCCCACTTCACTCACGGGTTCAAAGCAGTAGACACTTGCATCACTGGTCAGATTGGGCTCGATGCTGGTGTCTATGCCCCCCACTGCGAGGAGGCCACTCAGGGTTCTCAGCTCTGTCTGCACCACAATCTTGCCTCTGCGGCCCCCATCCAGCCAGCGGACAGCATTGAGCAGAAAGGGGCCCAGTTTACCAACAGTGAATAATACCTTATGGCCAGTCACAACCACCCGGCCCCGGCCATAGCGGGCAGCCGCTATAACACAGCCATGGTAGGAATCTAACCCTAGAGGAAAGGCTAAAGCCCCATGCACTAGCAGCTGGGATGGGAAACAATCCGAGTTGCTGATGTCCAGCTCTGAAATCCCATGCAGAAGCTCTTCTCTGTCGTCGGAGAGGTCATCTTCACAACTGCAAAAGACACATGCATTCTTTATTAGAGGTACAGTTCTATATAAAGCTGTTAGAACAGTGGATGGCATACAGTGAGCGCTATAGATGTGTTAGCTTTGCTAATATTGTTATTTTTAGTTCTTAGGGGAAAGTTGGGAGAACAAAATGGACAGCTCTGACCTCACTGGGTATGGAGACTTGTTGGAGGGGTGGCAGAGGGACTCAGCATTAATTCTGCTCTGCTCATTCTTAGAGCACAAATTCTCCAATGGAAATTGCAAAGGGAGCCCTGCTGTGTTTATCCAGTACCATGTCTTAAATACTCCAGATTTTAGTTCATGGTTATTTCAACCCTCTAAACAATACATATAAAAAAATGGGAAATCATGTTTTTTTTTCCTTATAAGGAGTCTTATTTATAAATTGCAGGAAATTGCAGCTAATTTCCTACAAATAAAGTCTGTGGAAGGACAAGTCAGTAGTGCTAGTGAAGAATCATTATTATCTCAAAAGGTGGGGTAGGGGAACTGACTGGCCTCAACTCTAGTGAGACCCTCTGGTTACCTGAGCCCAAGAGGACTTTACTGTCTGCATCTAGAACTCCACTTTTTCACTGCCTGCCCAACAGGAGTGATGCACATCCATGCTGTAAGGTTTTGCTCAGCACCATCTGTTTACTGTCTGTGGGTAATCCAGCCCTAGAAGCCCTCAAGATGCCCATAAATCCAAAATGAGATGGAACACTGGATAAGGTGGAGTTAAGGAATAGAGTGGCCTCTCTGAGCTTGAGATTCCAGAGTTGGTTCTGTCACTTTTGTTAGGTAAAGTATAGTAGGATGCAGCTACTATAGTATAGTAGGATGCAGCTGTAAGATAACACCAAAAAATGGGGGTCAGGTAGACAACAAATTTGCAGTGTTCGTGCTGTACTCTCTATGGCTGGCAGAGCTCTACTGATGGGAAAGCTATGGTCCTCTTAGCAAGTATGAACCTTTACTAAAGATAAAGCTACCACCATACTAATTGGTGGATGACTCTCTAACTCGGTAAAGAACTATCATTAACATCATTCAACTATCTCTTCTTGCTCTGATTCGAGGCTTACCAAACAACTCTGTGATTGTAATACTGCTTTCCATGATCACCTGCCTAATGAGAGAAAGAAGTCACTGGCTAGGCCAACCAGAATATTCTAGATTTGTAACATTTATTTATTTTATTCAAGCAACATTTTGGATAGTCTGTATTTAATTTGGTGACTCTTAAAATTTTTTAAAATTCATTTTCAGTTGTAGTCCTTTAAACATGTATACAAAATTTAATGAAAAATGTGTTTTAGTTCTTATAATTAGAGTTCTGTTTATAATTTTTTTCTCTTTTATTTTTGATTTTTTAATTTAATGGAGAAGGGGGGGGGTCTCACTATGTTGCTCAGGTTGGTCTTGAACTCCTGGGCTCAAGCAATCCTCCTGCCTCGGCCTCCCAAAGTGCTGGGATTATAGGCCATGGCACCTGGCCTTGTTTACGAAGTTCATGCAATTATTTTTTTTTAAGAGTAAAATCAGTGAAGAGGTGGGCTACTGTGCTCTAAGTGAATACATCAGCTTCAGGATTTCTACATGAGCCTACTGATGAGAGAAATTAAACCTACAAAGCTGAGATTCAGACACTGAGTTATTAGAACTTCATCTGAACAATGAGACTACATGAGGTCTTGCTCAGTGCTTAGCCAGGGGGCACCCTCGGAGGCATCTGTCTATTAGTTCCAACAGCCACGATTTATATACAGTAGGGGCTAAGTAATTCTTTCATGTGTTGAAAAAATGAGTTGGATTTTACTTCTCTTCCTTACCCTCTTCTGAAGTGAAACAAAAGTTACTTAAAAAAATAAATCCTGGTGAAACCCTGTCTCTACAAAAATACAAAAATTAGCGGGGCATGATGGCGGGTGCCTATAATCCCAGCTATTCAGGAGGCTGAGGCAGGAGAATTGCTTGAACCTGGGAGGCAGAGGTTGCAGTGAGCTGAGATCATGCCAATGCACTCTAGCCTGGGCGACAGAGTGAAACTCAGTAAATCCATAATAGCATTGGATTTTGAGAAGGGTGCCATCAACAAACTGAGATAGTGGGGACATTTATAAAAAATATAAATCAAATGGTATCTGATTGATTGGAAAGCCATGAGAACAGAAGAATCTAACTGCGTACATGTGAAAGAGAAGATCAGGGGAACAAAGGACCAAAGATTATCATTTGTCCCAAGAAAATGCTCTGCAGTAACCAATAATGATCAACCTAGGATTTAAATGTAATTTAAAATTTAAATAGACAAGAACCACCAAATATCTGACGAAAATTAACAGCATGAAAGAGAAGCACCCAACTAAACTCCCAAGGGAACAATAGCAACAAATGGAGAAGAACGTTCTAAGTAGGTATTGCATATCATCAGAAAGTTCTAAGAAGATATATTACCTCTCTCGTGAAAAAATGGGACAGGCTACTCTAAAAGATTATTGATTAGGCTGGGCGTGGTGGCTCACGCCTGTAATCCCAGCACTTTGGGAGGCCAAGGTGGGCGGATCACGAGGTCAGGAGATCGAGACCATCCTGGCTGACACTGTGAAACCCCATCTACTAAAAATACAAAAAATTAGCCAGGCGTGGTGGTGGGCGCCTGTAGTCCCAGCTACTCGGGAGGCTGAGGCAGCAGAATGGCATGAACCTGGGAGGTGGAGCTGGCAGTGAGCTGAGACTGTCCCACACACAACCGCAGGCAACTACTGATGTGCTTTCTATCCATAAACATTTGTCTTTTCTAAAGCTTCATATAATGTAATCATAAAGTATGTACTCCTTTGAGCTTGGCTTCTTTCACTCAGAATAACTTTGTGAGAACCATCCATACTGTGGCATCTATCCGTAATGCATCGTCTTCTACAGCTGTGTATTATGCCATTCTGGAGATAGGCTACACTTTGTTTATCCTGTCATCTGTTGATGGACATTTGGGTAGTCTTTGGTTTGGGCTTGCTGCCCTAAACATTAATGTACAAGTTTTTGTGTGGACATGTTTTCCTTTCTCTTGGATAAAGGGTGATGAAATGGCAAAATTGTATGTTAATTGTCAGTTAACTTTATAAGAAATTGCCAAACCGTCTTCCAAAGTGGTTGTGTCATTTTATATTCCCACTGGCAATGTATAAAACCACATTCTTGTCAGCAATTCATATAGCGAGTCTTTAATTTTAGCCATTTTTATGGGGCCATAGGGCATTTCATTGTGATTTTAGTTTTTTGCATTTCTCTGATGACTAATGATAGTGAGAATCATTTGGGCTTTTTGGCCTTTTATATTTTATCTTTTGTGAAGTGTGTTAAACTATTTTGGCTTAAAAAAAAAAAACTTGCAGGGTGTGGTATCTCATGCCTATAATCCCAGCACTTCGGGAGGCCAAGGCAGGACTGCTTGAGCCCAGGAGTCTGAGAACAGCCTGGGCAACATGGCAAGACTCCATCTCTACAAAAAATTTTAAAAATGGCCAGGTGTGGTGGCGTGCACCTGTAGTCCTGGCTACTCAGGAGGCTGAGGAGGAAGGATTGCTTGAGTGCCATGTTCGTGCCACTGTACTTCAGCCTGAGACAGAAAGGGAGACCCTGTCTCAAAAAACAAAACAAAAACAAAGAAACATAGGTGGTCTTATTATTGGAATATAAGAGTTCTCCATGTATTCTGAATGCAAGTCCATTGTCAGATATAAGTATTGCAAATATTTTTTTTTCCAGTCTATGGCTTGCCTTTTTGTTTCCTTAATACTGTCTATTGAACTGCAGAGCTATTTACTTTTTAAAAATAAAGCTCAATTTATTAATCTTTTCCTTTTATGGTTCATGTACTTTTTGTGTCCTATGTAGGCAAAAATTGCAAAGGTCAAGGTCACAGATATTTTCTCCTATGCTTTCATTTAGAAGTTTTTAAAATTTAGCTTTTGCATTTAGGTCTAGATCTATTTTTAAATATTTGCTTTTATGGAGTAGGGTGAGGGTCACAATTCACCTTTTTTCCATAAGGGTATCCAGTTGTTCCAGAACCATATGTTGGAAAGACTGTAATTTCCTCATAGAATTACCTGAGCAACTCTGTCAAAAAACAATTTACCATAAATTTGTGGGTCTATCTCTAAACTATCTGGTCTGTTTCATTGATCTGCATGTCTATCTTTATGCCAATATCAAAGTGTTTTGACTACTTCATTTCTGTAAAAAGTCTTAAAACTAGCCTATGTTAGTTCCATTTCATTTGTATATTTTTAGAATCGGTTTGAACTATGGACTGCATTAAATCTGTAGGTTAATGGGGAAACTGACATCTTAAAATATCAAGTGTTCTGATCCATCAACATGGTATATTTCTCCATTTCTTTAGGTTTTATTTAATTTCTCTCAGAGATGTTTTGTAGTTTTCACCATACAGGTCTCATGACATATTTTGTTAAATTTAACACTTACTACTTCATAATTTGGGTTCTATTTTAAATGTTGTATTTTAAAATTGTAATTACCAATTGCTGGTTGCTAATATATTAAAAAAGTAATTGGTTTTTGTAAATTGAATTTTGTATCTTACAACCTTGTTAAAATTAATTATTATAGCTTTACTGTAGATATTTTAGGATTTTTTTTTACATAGATGATCATGCTTTTTGCAAATACTTCTAAAAATAAAATAATTCCATTCTAGGAAATGCTCTAACTTTATGTTTAAATGGATCTTGTCATTTAAAAATCTTCTAAATGTGTAAAATACTTTTTTCTTTTAAATTTGTTTTCCAACACCAAGATTCAAACATTTCCTGTCTTTTGGCTCAGTGTTCTAGAAAAACAAAACACATATATATATATTTTTTTAAATTTCCAATCTCTATGCCTTATTTTCCTTGCCTTATTACACTGGGTAGGACCTGTAGCACAATGTTGAATAGAAGAGGTGAGAGCAGGTATTATTCCTTGTCATGTTCTCAGTCTTAGGGGAAAATGTTCAGTATTCACCTTTAAGAATATTTTTAACTATATATTTTTCGTAGACATTTTTATCAGGTTGAAGCAGTTCCTTTTTATTTCTCATTTGCTGAAATTTTATCATAATTTGGTATGATTTGGTATTGAATTTGGTCAATATTTTGTATGTGTATTATTGAATTATATGGTTTTTATTTTTCTTTTGGTTTTTTTTTTTTTTTTTTTGAGACAGTCTCACTCTGTTGCCCAGGCTGAGTACAGAGGCACGGTCTCAGCTCACTGCAACCTCTGCCTCCCAGGTTCAAATGATTCTCATGCCTCAGCCTCCCCAGTAGCTCGGACTACAGGCACACAACACCATGCCCAGCTAACTTTTGTATTTTAATAGAGATAGCATTTCACTATGGTGGTCAGGCTGGTCTCAAATCAAACTCCTGATCTCAAATGATCCACTCACCTTGGCCTCCCAAAGTGCTGGGATCACAGGCATGAGCCACCATGCCCAGCCTTGAATTACATGGTTTTTCTCATTCATTCTATTAATATGGTGAGTTAATCTGATTACTGAATGTTAGACCAGTCATTCATCCTAGGATAGCCTTACTTGGTCATGAAGTATTCTTCTTTTTATATATTTCCGTATTCTATTAATATTTTATTAATAATTTTTCATCTATATTCATGAAGGATATTGTTTTGTAGTTTTCTTACGATGTCCTTTTCTGGTTTCAGTATTAGAGAAATGCTGTTTTAATAAATCAAGTTGGAAAATCTTCCTTTTCTATTTTTAAAAAGAGTTTATGTAGGATTTGTATTATTTGTTCCTTGAATGTTTGATAAAATTCATCAATGAAGCTGTCTGGGCCTGGAATTTTCTTTGCGTTGTTGATTTTAAATACAATTTCTATTTTAAAATGTAAGAAAATCGAAAACTTGCAATATAGTAAAACATCCATTATACATTTGTCAAAACTAAGAAGTCAACAGTGATCAAACACTACTAACTAAACTCCAGATTTTATATAAATATCATCACTCTTCACACCAATGTCTTTTAGGATCCAATCCAGGATACCACATTGCATTTAGTGTTGGAATGTTTAAAATTACAATTCAATTTATTTAGCATATATTTCATGTTTCTTTTTGTATCCATTTTGGTAATTTTTGGCTGTCAGGAAATTTATCTATCTCATCTAAATTGTCAAATTTATTGGCATAAAGTTGTAATATTCCCTTACTATCCTTTTAATGTCTGTAGGATCTGTACTAATATTCCTTCTTCTATTCCTGAAATCCATAATTTGTGTTATCTCTCCTATTTTCATAGCTTATCTAGAGGTTAATCACTTTTAATGATTTTTTTTCAACTAATCAGCTTTTGGTTTTACTGTTTACTTTTTTTTTTAAAGTTGTTTCACAGATTTCTGCTCTATTATTTCCTCGTTTCTTCTACAGATTTTGGGTTTAATTCAATTTCCTTTTTTAGATTCTTAATATGGAAACATAGTTCACTGAGTTTCAAATTTTCTTCTTTCCTAATAAAAGTATTTAAAGGCATATCTTTCTTAGCACTGTTTTAATAGAATTGCACAATTTTTGACATGTTATGCTTTCATTTTTATTCAGTTCTAAATATATTCTAATTTCCTTTGTAATTTCTGCTTTGACTTAAGGAGTATTTAGAAACATTTTTAAATTTACAAATATTTAGGAATTTTTCAGATATGTTATTGAATTCTAATTTAATTCCACTGTGATGAGGACATATATGGTATGATTTCAATTCTTTTACTCTTGCTAAGGCTGATTTTATAGCACAGCAGATGGTCTATCTTCACGGTCTATCTTCATGACTATCTCATGTGCACATAAAAGAATGTGTATTCTGCTATTGTAGCCATGCTGTTAGCATTCATAAAATAAAATTAAATAAACAAATATGGAGAAAACCCCACATGGAATAAAAACAGGCCCAAATGTAAAAAGCAATTTGAATACTTTTGAATATAGTACTTGCTGGACTCTATATGCTCAGTGTGGTGTATTCAGAAGGCAAAAATAACTTATCAAGTTTGTTATTGGCAATAGTATGGGTATAGGAATCATGAAACTCGTTTGTGTGTATTATTGGACTGAGCAAATAGGTAAATGTTGAAGCTGTTGAAACCAGGATTCTCACTATGGCAGAAGAAAAATACTAATATGGAATGAGTGAAAGAGAAGAAGAATCCTGTGGTTTTGAAGTAAAATTGGGGGTATCAGTGTGAATGTATGATTAAAAGATATGGCTCTCTCAGAACCCAGAAATGATGACACCATAGCACTGAGCATGCTTTAGATCTTGGTTTCTAAATACCGTTCACCACTAAAAGGAACTAGCATTCCTTGAGGAAATGGCTGAATCCAGGTTTTGAACCAGAAAAGTACAAGGTAACCTTGCAACATCTTTTTATGTCAGAAACTAAGTAAATACTAAAAAAAAAACTGATGGGCTCAGGAGACAGCTTAACGAGGCTTTAACTTGCCAAATTTGGGACAACTTAGCCTTCAAAAAATACTGACTATAAATGGATTGTAATGTATTCGATCTTAAAAGAAAAGGATCCATGAGTATAGGGTGATACTAAAACAAACGTTTAAAAAGAAGAACAACCCTAACAGTAAATGTGAAGGTGGGGAAGCGAAGGTCTTATTTACCAAAGGATGTCAATCAGTTCTTATAGAAATCTACAAGTAAACCAACACTTAGCCTGAGGTAAGTGCTAAGATGTTAGGTTAGTATGGGAGCACAAAAGACTCATCTATATCAGAATGAGAGGAGAGGAGTAAGGGACAGCTTTCTAAAGATGTGATACCTGAGATGAATTTTGAAGAAAGGTTCAGAAGTGGCTGAAGTGGTAGAAGTAGCCACTTTCATAAATATTTACTCAGGCACAGATCACCAATGAAAGCTAAAACCACTGGGTGAAAGGTTGTTGGCAAACAGGATATTCATACAGATCTCAAATTGTCACACACTAAATTAGTTTTAAAAAAGGGGGAAAGGAATAAAATAAGTAGAAATAAAATATAATAAATAAAATCAGTAAAATAGGAAAATCTGGCAAACTCCAGTTTAATTAAATGACCAATTTTAACATCACCAGTAATTGGACAAACTGACCTCATGCACCTTTAATTTGTGACACTGTGATGAAAACAACATAAATTATTTTCTTGCCAAAAATGTGTGAACTGAGTGTAATCATGAAAAAAAAAACAATTAGACAAAGCCAAACTGAAGGGCATTCCATAAAACAACGGGACTGCATACTTCAAAAATACTAATGTCCTGAAAGATTTAAAAAAAAGCTAGGGAACTATTTTGATTAAAGGAGACTAAAGAAATATGATATGGAAACTTGATTAGATCCTATATCTTAAAAAATCTAAAAAAGGGATTTTTTTGAACAATTAGAGATGTTTGAACATGGACATTAGATAACAACATTCTATCAATGTTACATGTTTTGAGTGAGATAACTGTATTGTGGTTATATGGGAAAATGTCCTTGTTAGGAGATACAGGCTGAAGTATTCAGGTATGAAGTGTCATATCCATCACCTGCCTCCTTCATTCTTGAGATCTGTAGGTTACTCTCAAATGGCTAGGCCAAATAATCTCTTCGTATGTATACTTATGCAGCATATGTGGCAAAATGTAACCACTGGTGAATCTAGGTAAAGGGTGCGGTGATTATTATGTTATTCTGACAACTTTTCCTTAAGTGTGAAAAATTTGAAAGAAAGAGCTGGGAAAAATTAAAGGTAGCTATAATAATGATACAAAAATTGTGTATAACTTCTAAACAGAGAGAAGGGGAAAAGAAACTCCATCAATCAAGCTAAAGGCAGCAAAGGAAAATTTGAAAAGAAGCAACGAGACTGTTTAACAAAGAACATCAAATAAGATGATGGAACTAGAAGAAAAACACCAATGTCCTTAATTATATAAAAACATCAATGTCCTTAATTATATAAATTTTTAACCCTCAATTGGGTTAAAAAATCAGATTTGTACTAAGAGATGTATCTTTAAAAGCAAAAGAAAGAATAAAAAGATCAACAAGTAAAACAAAGTAGGAGTCAGAATTAATATTAGACAAAATAAAGGTGAAAAATACTAAATGCAAGAAATAATATTTTAGATGACAAAAATGTATGAGCCATAAAAAAGTCATGAGTTTTTATAAACCTAAAATATAGCTTTGAAATATATAAAGCAAAAGCCAAATTCAATTCTAAAATCACACTGAGAGTATGAAACAATTGTGATATACATCTCTATACTTATCCTTTAGACCAATATATAATATAAATATATTATTTATATTTCCATGACTTAACTGATTATATAATCAGTTGATCTAAAGGGTAAGTACAGATATAGGTACATAACAGATGACACTTATGGAATCCTCTTGAAAATGATATGGTTTTTGACATTTTGTTAGGACAGAAAAATAGTGATAATTTTAAAAATGGGATAACAGTATTGTGACTACATTTAAAATTTTGTCTTTATCTTTTGGAGATATACTATTTTATGGGTGAAATGACACACTGTTGGAGATTGGCTTCAAAACAAACGGGAAAGGTTAAGGAGTGGGTGGGGTGTGATTTGATACCATTACCTGGGTGATGAGTACATGTGCTCATTGTTCTATTTCTATTTCTGTTACGTGTTTGAAAATTTCCAAAATAAGATGTTTCTAAAAGGAAATTACCAAGTCTTTAAAATGAAGAGGTGTATGTCAAGCTTAGGGGTGGTAGCGAAAAGATAGTCATTGTATTATTATTTATAAGAAAAAATAGAAATAACATTAATGTGCTAATAGGCAAATGGTTAAATGAATTTCAGGACAATCCAACTGAATGCAAGATGCTCTTCAAAAGGATGATGCCCATCTTTTTACAGGGATATGAAAAAAACGCTCAGGATATAGTCAGTGAAAGAGCAAGTTGCAGATCTCTCTCTTTTTCTCTGTGTCTCTTTCTACCAGTCCAGCTCTCCCAACTCTAACCCCAATACATAAATGTAGGAAAAACATCAGACAAGATACCATCCAAACCATTAGCAGTGATCATTTCTTTGGAAGGGGGGAAGAAAAGAATTAGCGAGAGGCAGAGGATGAGGTGGAGGACAAAGATCTTTCACTTTTTACTTTGTATGCTTCTGAATTATTTTACTTTTTTCCCAAGAAGCACATATTTTAAAATTAAAAAGGAAAAATGTTCATTAAAAGGAAAAGAAAACAATTGTGATTTGGCAATCTCTCTTATAAAACAGCATATTTTGCCACTTGTACTCACTCTCTAAAAAGTTCTATTTTGTGAAAATCAGTTAAAACAATTTTAGTATATATGGCTAAGCATATAGTAAGAAGTACAAAGCAGGAGTTAGGTAAATACATTCACCCCACCATGCCTGGGCATTGATTCTGACCTAAAACCTATAATTAGGATTCTATATATGCCTAACATATAACCAGCAATAACCAGCAACGACCTCCAAGGATGTGCAAGATCCTTATTATAAATAAACTTACAACCAAGTCTCTTTTGTGTCTAATATCCCTTCACCATTTTTCAAACTGAAGGGGGCATGGATAGCATCAATTTATAAGGCTGGTCAATTCAGGTTTCGTGAGGGTATTTTCAAACCAAATTTATGGGAGCATTTGGGCATTTAGAGTATGACCATTTGTACGGCGTTCTTTTCTATGCATCTCTGATGACTTTGTGAACATACAGAGATCACTGTAGACTGAAAAATGTCCTACAAGGGACAGTAGGAGCTTCTATGCCACCACTTTCCTTTAGAGAGAAAAAGAGAATTGAAAGGACATGCTAGTGTTTTACTTCCAATTATGTGGTCAATTTTAGAATAAGTGCAATGTGGTGCTGAGAAGAATATATATTCTGTTGATTTGGGGTAGACAGTTCTGTAGATGTCTATTTGGTCCAGAGCTGAGTTCAAGTCCTGAATATCCTTGTTAATTTTCTGTCTTGTTGATCTGTTTAATATCCACAGTAGGGTGTTAAAGTCTCCCACTATTATTGTGTGGGTGTCTAAGTCTCTTTGTAGGTGTCTGAGAACTTGCTTTATGAATCTGGGTGCTCCTGTATTGGTGTATGTATATTTAGGATAGTTGGCTCTTCTTGTTGCATTGATCTTTTTACCATTATGTAATGCCCATCTTTGGTTCTTTTGACCTTTGTTGGTTTACAGTCTGTTTTATCAGAGACTAGGATTGCAATCCCTGCTTCTTTTTTGCTTTCCTTTTTTCTGGGTAGCTTCCTCCATCCCTTTATTTTGAGCCTATGTGTGTCTTTGCAAGTGAGATGGGTCTCCTGAATACAGCATACCACTGGGTCTTGACTCTATCCAATTTGTCAGTCTGTGTCTTTTAATTGAGGTATTTAGCTCATTTACATTTAAGGTTAATATTGTTATGTATGAATTTGATCAAGTCATTATGATGTTAGCTGGTTATTTTGCCTGCTAGTTGATGCAGTTTCTTCATAGTGTTGGTGGTCTTTACAATTTGGTATGTTTTTGCAGTGGCTGGTACTGGTTGTTCCTTTCCATGTTTAGTGCTTCCTTCTGAAACTCTTATAAGGCAGGCCTGGTGCTGACAAAATCTCTCAGCATTTGCTTCTCTGTAAAGGATTTTACTTCTCCTTGATGTATGAAGCTTAGTTTGGCTGCATATGAAATTCTGGGCTGAAAATTCTTTTCTTTAAGAATGTTGAATATTGGCCCTCACTCTCTTCTGGCTTGTAGAGTTTCTGCCAAGAGATCCACTGTTAGTCTGATGGGTTTCCCTTTGTAGGTAACCTGACGTTTCTCTCTGTCTGCCCTTAACATTTTTTCCTTCATTTCAACCTTGGTGAATCTGACAATTCTGTGTCTTGGGGTTGCTCTTCTCAAAGAGTATCTTTGTGGTGTTCTCTGTATTTCCTAAATTTGAATGTTGGCCTGTCTTGCTACGTTAGGGAAGTTCTCCTGGATAATATCCTGAAGAGTGTTTTCCAACTTGGTTCCATTCTTTGTGTCACTCTCAGGTAAACCAATCAAACGTAGATTTGGTCTTTTCACATAGTCCCATATTTCTTGGATGCTTTGTCCATTCCTTTTCATTCATTTTTCTCTAATCTTGTCTTCTGCCTTTATCTCATTAAGTTGATCTTCAATCTCTGATATCCTTTCTTCCACTTGATCGATTCAGCTACTGATACTTGTGTATGCTTCACGAAGTTCTCGTGCTGTGTTTTTCAGCTCCATCAGGTCATTTATGTTCTTCTCAAACTGATTATTCTAGTTAGCAATTCATCTAGCCTTTTTTCAAGGTTCTTAGCTTCCTTGCATTGTGTTGGAACATGATCCTTTATCTCAGAGGAGTTTGTTACTACCCACCTTCTGAAGCCTACTTCTCTCAATTCATCAAACTCATTCTCCATTGAGTTTTGTTCCCTTGCTGGTGAGGAGTTGTGATCCTTTGGAGGAGAACAGGCCTTCTGGTTTTTGGAATTTTCAGCCTTTTTGTGCTAGTTTCTCCCCATCTTCGTGGATTTATTTACCTTTGGTCTTTGATGTTGGGACCTTCGGATGAGGTCTCTGAGTGGACATCCTTTTGTTGATGTTGATTCTATTTTTTTCGGTCTGTTAGTTTTCCTTCTAACAATCAGGCCTCTCTGCTGCAGGTCTGCTGGAGTTTGCTGGAGGACCCTCTTTGCCTGGGTATCACCAGCGGAGGCTGCAGAACAGCAAAGATTGCTGCCTGTTCCTTCCTCTGGAAGCTTTGTCACAGAAAGGCACCTGCCAGATGCCAGCCAGAGCTCTTTTGTATGAGGTATCTGTTGGCCCCTACTGGGAGGTGTCTCCCAATCAGGAGACATAGAGGTCAGGGACCCACTTGAGAAGGCAGTCTGATCCTTAGCAGAGCGTGAAGTTCAAGGCTGTGCTGGGAGGTCCGCTGCTCTCTTCAGAGCCATCAAGCAGGGATGTTTAAGTCTGCTGATGCTGCGCCCACAGCCACCCCTCCTTCCAGGTGCTCTATCTCAGGGAGACGGGGTTTTTTATCTATAAGCCCCTGGCTGGGGCTGCTGCTTTTTTTTTTTTTTTCCCAGAGATGCCCTGCCCAGAAAGGAGGCAGTCTGTCCACAGTGGCCTTACTGAGCTGTGATGGGCTCCACCCGGTTCAATCTTCAGAGCGGCTTTGTTTACACTGTGAGCGTAAAACCGCCTACTCAAGCCTCAGCAATGGCGGATGAACCTCCCGCGACCAAGCTTGAGCGTCCCAGGTGGAGCTCAGACTGCTGTGCTGGCAGCGAGAATTTCAAGCCAGTGGATCTTAGCTTGCTGGGCTCTGTGGGGGTGAGACCCACTGAGCCAGACCACTTGACACCCTGGCTTCAGCTCCCTTTCCAGGGGAGTGAAAAGTTCTGTCTCACTGGTGTTCCAGGTTCCACTGAGTTATGGGAAAAAAAAAAAAATTCCTGCAGCGAGTTTGGTGTCTGCCCAAATGGCTGCCCAGTTTTGTGCTTGAAACCCAGGGCCTTGGTGGCATAGGAACTGGAGGGAATCTCCCAATCTGTGGGTTGTGAAGACCGTGGGAAAAGTGCAGTATCTGGGCCAGAGTGCACCATTTGTCACAGTGCAGTCCCTAATGGCTTCCTTTGGCTAGGAGAGGGAGTTCCCCAACACCTTGCACTTCCCGGGTGAGGCGACTCCCCACCCTGCTTTGGCTCGCCTTCTGTGGGCTGCACCCACTGTCCAACCAGTCCCTATGAGATGAACCGGGTACCTCTGTTTGAAATGCAGAAATCGCCCATCTTCTGCATAGATCTCACTGGGAGCTGCAGACTGGAGCTCTTCCTATTTGGCCATCTTGCCAGCCGGAGCTCGGATTTTTTATTTTTCTTCCTTTCCCTATATATTTTTTTTCTGTTTCTTTCCCCTTCCCTTTCCTCCTCTCCCTAGAGGATGTGACTGAGGATAATGCTGGGTAGGGTCTTTTGACTTTGCTTCCATAACCCTATGCACTTCTGTCCGCAGGTTTTATGTTGGGCTGGGTACTTTGACCTACAAGCCAGTAGATGGGGGCTTATGGGTAATAGCAGGTTGCAGCCAATGGGGCTGGGTATATACTCGATCCTCCTTTACTGGAAAAACACTGGGTAGGGCTGGACCTGGCAAGTCCATCTACAGGTCCCCCAATGATAGGCACAAGCACCAGCTCTGAGGGAGAGTCCAGTGGGCAGCCACCAAGTGTCCAGAGGCGTGCCTCGGCATGGAGGTAGGAAACCTCCTTGGCCCCAAGTTCTCTGCATAGGAGTGTCAGAGGCAGCCTGATCTCTTAATCCAGGAGAGTGGCTGCTCCAGATGCCTGGAGATCTGCCTGGTTGTGGAGTGGAGAGGGTCTCCTTGCACCACTATCGCTGCGCAGGAAGGATGGGGTGGCTCAAGCTACTTACTGCTCCAGGCAAGCAGGTGTTCCAAATACCTGGAAATCTGTGGAGCAGAGAGGGTCCCACTGCACTGCAATCTCTGCACCAGAAGAATGGAGCAGCTCAGACTGCTGATTCACGCTAATGGGCACTCTGAATCCCTGGATATCTGCCTGGGCAAGAAGTGGAGATGGCCCCCTTGCACAAGGATCTCTGCACAGGAAGGAAGGGGCAACCCAGGCTGCTAGCCCATGAGAGCGGGTGCTTTAAATGCTTGGAGATCTGCTTATATGTAGAATGGAGAAGGCCCTGCTACACCACAGTCTCAGGAAAGTAGGCTGGGACACCCAGCAATAACACACACAGACCAGTTCTAGTTCATCAGGCTGGCCCTGGCTGAAAGTCTCACTGCCCAGGAGAAACCACAGCCATAGCAGCTCTCCTCTTGCCCAAGGCCTGTGACTGGGGAAAGCACAATTCCCGTGCCTACTGTTGAGGTATTTTCCATGGTTCTGGCTGTGGAGGACCCTACCCTGATCCAGAGCAGGTGCTCCATTCTCTACCCCAATACTAAAATGCCTGCATGGCCACACTGCTGGGTTGCCAAAGAATGGCTGACTTTAGATGCACCCAAATTAAAAATGGTATCCTGTTCTCTGTCCTGGGACTGGGAAAATGCCTGTAGCTTTATCCAGTGTCTGTCCCTATCAGCATCTCCAAGCCTCTCCTGAAGTTAGCTCCAGGATTTGGGAGAAACAAAGTGCTGTCTCTCAGCCTGGATTGCTCTGATCCTCAGTGGAAACGTGAGTCACAGAGGGAAGCTTCTACCTCTCATGTGCTGGGACTTCATTCACTTTTCTCAGCTGGACAGCATTATGGTGGCTGTTTGCCAGCATTCTCCTTCTCAGGATCTGGAGTGTTCTTCACAATTCCAGTGGATCTCCATTTTCCTTCTTGAATTAAAGCTCACAGTATTTATCTTTATGCACTGCCTTGCTATTTCCAAGTGGCTGTGGCATGCTAAAAGCTTCTAATTGTCATCTTGAAAAAAAAATCTATGAACAATGTTTGATATGAGTTGGCCAATACTCAACTGAAAATAAAAAAATTTATATGCAAGGATAGTCTCTGAGGTTGAGCATTTTTGTTCAGTGATGAAGCATTTGAATTATCAACATGGTTAATGCTATGGAAATCTATGGAACCAATTCGTTTAAGAAATGGATTCGTATCTTAATAAAGAACATCTTTTTTATTGTTTAATTGCTGAAACAAGATGTCAGCCTATTACCCTAATTAACCAGTTCAATCACAGCCATTCACATCATCTAGTACCAAGTGGTATTTTTCAGAGAAATGAACATGAGGAGGGAAACTCCTTGACTGGAAAAAAAATTGATACATATAATCATTACAGAGCTGTATATTTATATAAGACCAACTGTGAGATGAATGAAGAAATCTCTGAGATTCACTGTTGAGTAGCTTAAAATTTCCAAGTCCTCTGCTAGACTTGAAAACTATTTAGTGTTGAACAAAAATAAGATACTATATCTCACAATTCCTATATGAATGCTTCCATTCCTACTTTATTTCTGCTTTCATTTTCACGGCTCATCTACAGTCTCTCTTCCAGCCTCCCATTTGTATTTTACAACATGCATAATTACAGATTTATTCTTTAATTATCTCATTTTCATACGATTTTTATATCTCTTGAAAGATTTCTTGGAAACTTCTGTCTTTTTTATTTTCCAGAGAGGCAGAGTATTTTTAGGCAATAATATTTTACCTTATCATGCCTTTCAACTATTACAAGAAAAAGGGAAAGTAGTAAAATAAATAAACAAATACAGACAGTCACCAACTTACAATGCTTTCACTTAAGATTTTCAACTGTATGATGGTGGGAAAGTGATACGTATTGAGTAGGAACCATATTTCAAGTACTCATGCTACCATTATATTTTTCATTTTCAGTACAGTACTCAATAAATTACATGAAATATTCAACAGTTTACTATAATATAGGCTTTGTGTAAGATTATTTTGCCCAACTGTAGGCTAATGTTAGTGTTCTAAGCACGGTTAAGGTGGGCTAGGCTAAGCTATGAAGTTGGGTAGGTTAGGTTTATTAAACATATCTTCAAGCCAGGTATAGTGGTTTGTGCCTATAGTCCCAGCTGCTCAGGAAGCTGAGGCAGGAGGATTGTTTGAGCTCAAGGAGCTTGAGACTATAGTGCACTATGAGCACACGTGAGAATAGCCACTGCACTCCAGCCTGGGCAACATGGCAAGAGTCTACATTTTGTTTAAAAAAAACAGCATCTTCAACTTAGAATAGTATCAACTTATGATGGGTTTATTGAAACATAATCTTATCATAAGTTGAAGAGTATCTTTATATAGTAGAATATAATAACATACTACAGACTTATTTTCTCAAAGCATAAAGATAAACCACACTAATGATCATCCATGGGAGAGGGACACCTAGACAATGTCCTGCAAAATGAGAAATACTTGTAAGACATACTTTACATTCCAGACTGAGTCTCTTTCACCATGAAATAAAATCATTAAGAAATTTTTAGTAATATTTTAATTAAAATTTTAAGTATAGAAAGAAGGTTGTATAGCTTTACATTAAAAATAAATTAGTACGTGACTTGGCTACTTGACACCAAAGTAGCTGGTGCCAGATTCACGCTTCCATCATAATTTGATTATGAGCATCATAATTGGAAGTTGACTTGGGACGCTGGAGCTTGGTGTGGGGAGGGGCATCTGCCATTACTGAGGCTTGAATAGGTGGTAAACAAAGCTGCTGGGAAGTTCAAACAGGGTAGAGCCCACTGCAGCTAGCAGCTCAGCAAAGCCACTGTAGCCAGACTGCCTCCCTGGATTCCTCCTCCCCGGGCAGGGCATCTCTGAAACAAAGGCAGCAGCCCAGTCAGGGGATTATAAATAAAACTCCCACCTCCCTGGGACAGAGCAGCTGGGGGAAAGGGTGGCTGTGGGCACAGCTTCAGCAGACTTAAACGTCCCTGCCTGCCAGCTCTGAATAGAGTAGTGGATCTCCCAGCACAGTGCTTAAGCTCTGCTAAGGGACAGACTGTGTCCTCAAGTGGGTCCCTGAACCCAGTGCATCCTGACTAGGAGACACCTCCCATTAGGGGTTGACAGACACCTCCTACAGGAGAGCTCAGGCTGACATCTGATAGGTGCCCCTCTAGGATGAAGCTTCTAGAGGAAGGAACAGGCAGCAATCTTTGTTGTTCTTCAGCCCTCACTGGTGATACCCAGACAAACAAGGTCTGGAGTGGACCTCCAGCAAACTCCAGCAGACCTGCAGCAGAGGGGCCTGACTGTTAGAAGAAAAACTAACAAACAGAAAGGAATAGCATCAATTTCAACAAAAAGGACATCCACACTGAAACCCCATCTTCATGGGGTTTCATCTTCGATGTTGTAGGTCACCAACATCGAAGACCAAAGGTAGATAAATCCACAAAAATGAGGAAAAAGCAGTGCAAAATTGCCGAAAATGCCAAAAACCGGAAAGCCTCTTCTCCTCCAAAGGATCACAACTCCTCGCCAGCAAGGGAACAAAACTGCATGGAGAATGAGTGATGAATTGGCAGAAGTAGGCTTCAGAAGGTAGGTAAAACAAACCTCTCTGAGCTAAAGGTGCATGTTATAACCCAATGCAAGGAAGCTAAGAACCTTGAAAACACATTACAGGAATTGCCAACTAGAATAACCAGTTTAGAGAAGAACATAAATGACCTGATGGAGCTGAAAAACACAACACGATGACTTTGTGAAGCATACACAAGTATCAATAGCTGAATCAATCAAATGGAAGAAAGGATATCAGAGATTGAAGATCAACTTAATGAAATAAAGCATGAAGACAAGATTAGAGAAAAAAGAATGAAAAGGAATGAACAAAGCCTCCAAGAAATATGGGACTACATGAAAAGACCAAACCTACGTTTGATTGGTATACCTGAAAGTGACCAGGAGAATGGAACCAAGTTGGAAAACACACTTCAGGATATTATCCAGGAGAACTTCCCCAACCTAGCAAGACAGACCAACATTCAAATTCAGGAAATACAGAGAACACCACAAAGATACTCCTTGAGAAGAAAAACCCCAAGACAAATAATCATCAGATTCACCAAGGCTGAAATGAAGGAAAAACTGTTCAGGACAGCCAGAGAGAAAGGTCAGGTTATTCACAAAGGGAAACCCATCAGACTAACAGCAGACTTGGCAGGACCCTACAAGCAAGAAGAGAGTGGGGACCAATATTCCACATTCTTTTCTTTTTTTTTCTTTTTTATTTTCTAGACCACTGAGAAAATCTTTGTTTACACTAAATTTCAACAAAATTTACATAAATACATTCCAAATGTACAATTTTCACCTCTGATTTTTTCACGTCATTTAAAAGGTTAGTCTGTCCTGTTCCTGTTATTCCTTTCAGACACGAGTGTGGCACTGACGTTGGCAGGTGGAGGGGAGCTCCCAGGGAGCTGGGGGGTGCCTGAGGGCTCAGGCTGCTTGGGGCAGACTTCTGTCTGGGCCGCCAGCTTTTCAGCTGCATCCCTGCCCTCACATTCTTAAAGAAAAGAATTTTCAACCCAAAATTTCATATCCAGCCAAACTAAACTTCATAAGTGAAAGAGAAGTAAAATCCTTCACAGACAAGCAAATGCTCAGTGATTTTGTCACCACCAGGCCGGTGTTACAAAAGCTCCTGAAGGAAGCACTAAATGTGGAAAGGAACAACTGGTACCAGCCACTGCAAAAATGTACCAAATTGTAAAGACCATCAACACTATGAAGAAACTGCATCAACTAATAGGCAAAGTAACCAACTAACATCATAATGACACGATCAAATTCACACATAACAATATTAACCTTAAATGTAAACAAGCTAAATGTCCCAATTAAAAGACAGACTGGCAAATTGGATAAAGAGTCCAGACCCATCGGTGTGCTGTATTCAGGAGACCCATCTCATGTGCAAAGACACACACAGGCTCAAAATGAAGGGATGGGAGAAGATTTACCAAGAAAATAGAAAGCAAAAAAAAAAAAAAAAAAAAATCAGGGGTTGCAATTCTAGTCTCTGATAGAACAGACTGTAAACCAACAAAGATCAAAAAAGACAAATAAGGCATTACAAAATGGTAGAAGGATCAATGCAACAAGAAGAGCTATCTATGCTAGATATACATGCATCCAATACAGGAGCACCCAGATTCATAAAGCAAGTTCTTAGAGACCTACAAAGAGACTTAGACTCCCACACAATAATAGTGGGAGACTTTAACACCCTACTGTTGATGCTAAACAGATCAACAAGACAGAAAATTAACAATGATATTCTGGACTTGAACTCAGCTCTGGACCAAGTGGACCTAATAGACATCTACAGAACTCTGCATGCCAAATCAGCAGAATATACATTCTTCTCAGCACCACATCACACTTATTCTAAAATTGACCATATAATTGGAAGTAAAACACTCCTCAGCAAATGCAAAAGTAGGGAAATCATAACAAACAGTCTCTCAGACCACAGTGCAATCAAATTAGAACTCAGGATTAAGAAACTGACTCAAAACTGCACAACTGTATGGAAACTGAACAACATCCTCCTGAATGACTACTGAGTAAATAATAAAATTAAAACAGAAATAAATAAGTTCTTTGAAACCAATGAGAACAAAGACACAACGTACCAGAATCTCTGGGACACAGCTAAAGCAGTGTTTCGAGGGAAATTTATAGCAATAAAAGCCCACAGGAGAAAGTGGGAAAGATCTAAAACTGACACCCTAACATCACAATTCAAAGAACTAGAGAAGCAGGAGCAAACAAATTCAAAAGCTAGCAGAAGACAAGAAATAACTAAGATCAGAGCAGAACTGAAGGAGATAGAGATACAAAAAACCCTTTTAAAAAAATGAATCCAGGAGCTGTTTTTTTGCTTGTTTGTTTTTTGAAAAGATGAACAAAATAGACTGCTAGCTGGACTAATAAAGAAGAAAAGAGAGAAGAATCAAATAGACACAATAAAAATGATAAAGGGGATATCACTACTGATGCCACACAAATGCAAACTACCATCAGAGAATAGTATAAACACCTCTACGCAAATAAACTAGAAAATCTAGAAGAAATGGATACATTATCGGACACATACACCCTGCCAAGACTAAACCAGGAAGAACTCGATTCCCTGGATAGACCAATAACAAGTTCTGAAATTGAGGCAGTAATTAATAGCCTAGCAACCAAAAAAAACCCAGGACCAGATGGATTCACAGCTGAATTCTACCAGAGGTACAAAGAGGAGCTGATACCATTCCTTCAGAAACTATTCCAATCAATAGAAAAAGAGGACTCCTCCCTAACTCATTTTATGAGGCCAGCATCATCCTGATACCAAAACCTGGCAGAGACACAACAAAAAAAGAAAATTTCAGGCCAATATCCCTGATGAACATCGATGCAAAAATCCTCAATAAAATACTGGCAAACAGAATCCAGCAGCACATCAAAAAGCTTATCCACCACCATCAAGTTGGCTTTATCCCTGGGATGCAAGGCAGGTTCAACATATGCAAATCAATAAACGTAATCCGTAACATAAGCACAACCAATGACAAAACCCACACAGTTATCTCAATAGATGCAAAAAAGGCCTTTGACAAAATTCAACAGCCTTTCATGCTAAAAACTCTCAATAAACTAGGTATTGATGGAACACATCTTAAAATAATAAGAGCTATCTGTGACAAACCCACAGCCAGTAATGTCCTAGGCCTTCATATTCACTCACCACTCACTCACTAACTCGCCCAGGCAACTTCCAGTCCTGCAAGCTCCATTTATTGTAAGTTCCCTATACAGGTGTACCATCTTAAAAATCTTTTATATTTTCTACTGTACATTTCATGTATTTAGATATACTTAGTTACATAAATACCACAGTTGGTGACTATTACAAATTGTTACCATAAACATAACACTTACTGTGTTACAATTACCTATAGTATTCACTACACTAATATGCTGCACAGGTTTGTCCCGTAGGAGCTATGAGCTCTTCCATATAGCCAAGGTGTATAGTGGCTACTATATATACCACCTAGGTTTCTGTAAGTACACTCTACGACATTTGCACAATGACAAATTCACTTGACAGCACATTTCTCAGAACATATCATTTAACGCATCGTTAAACAACACATGACTGTATAATGTTAGCTTTTTGTAGATGCTTTTTATCAAGTGGATAAAGTTTCCTCTATTCCTGCTTTATAGAGAGATTTTATCATGAATGGATATTGAAATGTGTTAAATTTGTTAAATGTTTATTATGCATCAACTGATGCAACGTAACTTTTCTTTTGTTTGTTAACATGGTGGATTATTTTGATTGACTTTTTGAGACTTAATCAGGCTTGTATTTCTGGAAACAACCCCCCTTGGACATGGGGTACATTTTTTTAATATACTGTAGAACTCTATTTGTTAATATTAAGTTATACATATCTTTACATATACACACACACACCCACTCTCTCTCCTGGTTTTGGTATCAGTGTAATAATAGCTTCAAAAAATAAATTGGGGAGTGTTCTCTCCTTTTCTGTTTTCTGGAAAAGATTGTGTAGAATTGGTGTTTTTTTTTTTAAACATGGTAGAATTCTCCAGTGAAACCATCTAAACCTAGAGATTCCTTTTCTGGTAGTTTTAAAATTATGAATTCAATTTTCTTAATGGTTATAGAGTTATTCAAATGATCTATTCATGCATGGTGAGTTGAGTTTGCTTGTGTTGCAGGAGGAACACTGCATTTTGTCCATTTTGTCTAAGTTGTCTAATTTATGTGTGTGGAGTGGTTTGTAATATTCCTTGATTGTCCTTTGTTATATGTGGTGTCTGTAGTGATATCACCTGTTTCATTATGGTATTTAAAATTTATGCCTTTTCTTTTCCTTTTAATTTCTGTTTGAGTTTGCTAAATTTTATTAATCTTTTAACAGAACTATCCCTTTGTTTTATTGGTTTAACTATTTTTTCTCTTTTAAATATAAGTGTTTTCTTTTCTTATCTTCATTAATCTCCACCCTCTACTTGCTTTGAGTTTATTCTGCTCTTCTTTTTCTAGGTTCCTGAGGTGGAAATCTATTGCTCACTCGAGACTTTTCCTCTTTACTAATGCATGCATTTACTGCTATAAGTTTCCTTCTCAGTACATTGATATGTCACAGTTTCATGTTTATCCAGTTCAATGTATTTTTAAAATTTTTCCTTGAGACTTCTTCTTTGACCGATAGATTAGTTAGAAGTGTGTTTTTTTAATTTCCAAGTGTTTGGGAATTTTCATATCTTTCTTATGCTGATTTCCAATTGGATTCCCTACAATGGTTTCTGGTTTTCACCTGCTCTGGATGATTACGATCTCTTTTAAATTTGTTCTGGTGAGTTTTAGGGCCTAGGATAGCTCTATCTTGCCATGTGTTTCGTCAGCACTCAAAAAAAATGTGTATTCTGCTGTTGTTGTGTGGAATATTCTGTAAATGCCAAATAGATTCTTTTGGTTAATGGCATTTTGAGTTGTTTTATATTCTTGTTGATTTTCTTTTTTTTTTCCCCCTTTTAAAGTATGAAACGCTTCACAAAATTTTGTGTAATCTATATGCAGGAGACGTGTTAATCTTGTCTGTGTCATTCTAATTTTAGAAAGTGCTGCCAAAGCCAACACTCCTTGCTGATTTTCTGTCTAGTTCTATCCATTATTGAAAAACGCAAGAGAAAATTTCCAACTATAATTGTGGATTCATCTATACCTACTTTCAGTTCTGGCAGTTTTCTTTTTAAAAAAAAAATCAACTAAAGTTTATTAAATTAAGCATAAAGTTACTTTCACATTTATCTACAACCACAGTGAATACAGTTCTTGGCATGAAGACACCACAACCTTTAGAATTTAAAGCCTCCCCACCTGCAAGATTACATATATAAAACTCCCATTATTGTTTCTATAACAGTGGATTAATTCACCAAATTAAAATAGTTATATGATCTAGAATAATAAAATGGAATGATTTACTCATAAGATTCCTATTTAAAACATCTTTATTTACAAAATACTATCCTGAGAATTATAATTCCATTAAACTTCAATTTGAGCAAAAGTGCAATCACTTAAGTAATAGCAGTTACTTAAACTGAAAATGAGATCAGTCAAAATTACTTTTGAAGAAAGCAACAATATTGTCAGGTTTCTTTTGTGGTCCTGGATGTTCAGTAGCATTAAAGGCGGAATCAATCCTGAAGGGAACTCGCTTCTACCTTCAGAATGCGGGGTTGGGGTAAAATCCAGGTCTCGGGTGAAAGTAAGGAGGTAAACCCCTCGGTGGGTAGATGTTTCTCATTGCAAATGGAGCATGTGGTGGACCTGGGAAATCCCTTGGTGGAAAATAACCTCGAGAAGCTCCAAACATGGTTCCTGGAGGAGGTGGGGGGAAAGGAGGTCCTCTTCTCATGAACGGGCCCCTTGTATCCACTGGAAACAATGGTCCTCTGACTGGAGCAAGAGGTGGAGGAATAAAGCCAGGGCCAGTTGCTTCATTTTCAGCAGGGAGAGATGAATCAGGCACATTTAAATTACCAAGATCATCTTTGGCATCATTTCTACTGGATTCCATTTCTGAAGGCATTGACCCATCCATTTTATCCAAAGAAGTCATTTTAAAACTTCTGGGTTCTGCTGATCCAGACAGTCTTTCAGAATTAGAATAAAATCTGTCTTCCCTTTGAGGAGGAAGAGCTGAATCAGGATATGATTGTCCTGGTGGAGGAAACATCATCTTACAGTCCTGTTCCACCGGAGATGACAGGGACCCAGTGTCAGAAGGAGCCCTGTGAGGATCGGTTAACCTGTCACAGCTTGGTTCTCCTCTTTCATTGGTAATCTGATGGTCCAGGGGATTCCCTGGGCCTCTTGGGCCTCTTCCTCCTCCCTCCGGAAGCACAGGTGAGAGTCCCAGTGGATCCTCCAACAAAGTTTGAGGAGAGAGAAAAGCTCTCGTTTCAGATGAACGCTGACCCAATGGTGCGGGACCATTCGGGGCATGCTCTCTGCCAAATGCTGTATTTGAAACATCAAGTGCATTAGGATCTTTTTCTAAAAGTTCAAATTTCAACTCTGTTTCAGTTAATTTTTGTTTGTTGTGAGCATTTTCTTTCCTTAAATCACTGAGGTTTCTTTCAGCAGTCCGAGCTGCCAACCAATTATCATGTCCTCTTTTCTCGTAGGAAATAACCTGCTTTTGATAAAAATGAACAGTTCTCTCCAATTCTTCTTCAAGATCTTTGGCTAGCTTTCTATAGGTCTCCAGCTGTTCAGTGGCACGGCTGAGCTTTTCTTCCACTCTAGAAAGCTTCTCTTCTTCCTCTATTCGGTAATTTTCCTCCACTGTTAATTTCCTGTAGAGTTTCATTTCATTTTCTTGATAGAATTCAGTCATTATTTTAAGTTTCTGTTGAAGCTTCTGATTCTCACTTTCAAAATATATGTTTTCTGATTGCAAAGATGCTTGTTGAGTCTGAAGATTTTTAATATGCTCTGTAAGCTCTTCCTTTGTTTTGTCCACTTCAGATAACTGAATAATAATGTGGTTTCTTTCTCCTTCTAAGCTTTTTAAAGAAACATTTAACTTAGCAGCATGAATCAGTTTCTTCAAAGCTCCTTTCAGAGGATCATCTAAGTTAGCACCATTTTCCCATTGACTGTTCACTTCTAATTCCAGGTTATCATCATCCGTTGTGTCTTCTTCAAGCACAGCAGCCTGATCTTTCATCATTGGCAAGTGTCCAGTCAGGGTCTTGATGTGATTTTCTTTATCATTCAGAACTTGTTCTGCGTGTACTTTGGAGTCTTCAAATGTTATTTTCTGTTTATTAAGTTCACTCACTTGTCCTTTCCATACTTCAGCTTCTTGCTGAAAAAGCTGTTTATGGCTTGTCTGAAGTTGAGAATTTTCATTCAAAGCATCTTTTATTGCTATAGCCCGTCGTTCTTCACTCATTTTAAATGTCTTGCAGATGATTTTGGCTTCAGCTATTTGTGATTTGAGGGATTTTGACTCATCTTCTAGAGACTGTATACTTTTTGAAATATCCGCCATCAATTCATCTTGTTGAGAATGTTTAGATTTCTCTTCTTTTAAGTCTTTTTCTAGACAGAGGATTTCATCCTCAAGTTCAGAATTGGACCTGTTCAGCTTTTCACAGGTTGCCTCCAAACTTCGTGCTTCTTCTGCTGCCGCCTTCTCAAAGCTGGCATCCTCTAAAGATGACTCTACTTCATAGCCTTCATACTCTTTTTGAATAAGGCTAAACTTTTCAAGTAGTTTACATTTTTCTTCAATTAGTCCAGAAAGCGTTGCACCAAGTTTTTGCTCTCTTCCCACGTAAAGCCGACTCCTAACCGATCTAAAACTTCTCCACAAAAAAAGGAGAACAACAAAAAATCCAATAACAGCTGCACATACCACCAGTTCCGATGGAAAACCATAAGGATTCTCATCTGGTCTCATACTCTCAGGTAGTGCTGCCACAACTCTGCGTAGCTCCTCCAGGACCAGCCCCAGGTAGGGCTGAGGGGTAGCACCGGGCTCCTCCATAGCGTCGAGGCTGCTCTGGCGGTCACCGCAGTAACACTGGCCACAACAAGCGGTGGAGAACACGCAGCCTTGGGTCTGGAACCCGAATGCGCACGTGACAACCAACCGGAGCGGACCACTGTGGAGCGGGCTGCGGGGGGAGCTGGGGAACGCGGGCACCCACAGGCCTCACAGGCCCATGTTGTCCCCCACCACCTCCCCTGGCCCTCTTGTTACACTTCACATCCTGAGGCAGCGCTGGTCTGAGCCCGGCCCGCCTTAGTTCTGGCAGTTTTCACATCACATATTTTGAAGCTTTATTTTTTGGTGAATACACTTTTAAAATTGCTGTCTTCTTCATGAATTAAACCTTTGATCATTATATAATCTCTCTGTTTCTGGTAATTTTCTTTGCTTTATCTGATATACATACAGGCACTCTTGCTTTCCTTTCATTAATGTTTGTGTAATATATCTTTTTTCATCCTGTTAATTTGGTCTGCCCTGTATTGGTAAATTTCAAGTGAGTTTCTTGTACACAGCATGCAAGAAACATATAAGAAAGGGTCATACTTTTACATACACTCTTCTATTATCTGTCTCTTGGTAGACCATTCATAATTAAATGAATTATTGATACTTTAGTGCATAAGCCTGACAGTTTTTGTTTTCTCTATCAACTCTTGTGTCTCTGCTTGTTTTTCATGACTTTCTGTGGGTTATTTGAACATTTATTTTAGAATTCCATTTTGTTATTCATAGTGTTTATGATGTATCTTCTTTTTTATAGTTTTCTGGTTGCTTTTTATAGCTTAGTGGTTGTTCTAGATATTCCTTTATACATACATTATCACAGTCAATTGGTGTCATCTGTATTCCAGTTTGAGTGTAGTATAGCAACCCTATGTCATTTTATGTCTCTTTACCCTCTCAAATTTATAGTATCATTGTCTTACATCCATTTAGATTAACACCAGACAATGCTATGATTTTTGCTTGAAACATCAAACATAATTTAGGAAATCGAAATCTATGCCAATAAATAAAGTGAGCATTTTAGAGCTGCCAGAAGGAAATAGGACACGACCTGCTTTGTCTTTCATTTTTTCTTTCTTTCCTTTATATTGATCATAGATATTATGATGCCCTATCTATTAACTCCAATATCTGGATTATCTGTGAATTTGTTTTTAATAATTGATTTATTTTTTATGAGTCTGTATTTCTTGCTTTTTTGTGTATGTGGTAACTTTTTAAAAGTATGCTGAGTTTCTGGATAATATGATATAGAAATGCCCAAAAATTTTGAATTTTTTTCTGGACAGATGTTATATTACCTGCAGATCACCTTGCTGCTCTCAAGACCTAGTTTTAAGCTGTGCTATGGTAATGATATTTTATTTTCCTCTTAGGACATATGCCTTACTCCTAGGATACTGTACCTCTCCTTAGACAGAATCTTTAGGGTCCCAACTGGGTTTCTCAGTTGTTTACCAACATTTCCCCATCTGGCTGGATCTGAAACCCAGTAGGTTTCCAGGAAATTTTCAGTCCCTGATGATCTCTTCTGCTTTCCCAGCAGTTGCTTTCTACTAGGTCTCTCCTCTTCTTAGCCAACTGTCACACAGCTAAAGAGTCACGGAAGGACCAAAATGGCATTTACACACCCATTTCCAGGGTTCTTTCTCTCTCCCATATGGTACATTAACCCCCAATTCCCAACCAGCTTATTAGCTTTGAACTCTATTTTTTGCTTCTTTTGGTTACCAAGACCACTAACCTCTGGTTGGGTCACATTTTCCTGTACCAAGGTCAGGAAGATGCCTTTCTGGAAAACCCTGGCAAATGTGGTACTAACCTCATGTGTCTCACCTTCCTTAAAGATCTCATACCTGACTTGGTACAACAATGTTCTTCAATGCCTGCTGATATGGTTTGGCTGTGTCCTTACTCAGATCCCATCTTGAATTGTAGCTCCCATAATTCCCACGTGTAGCCTTGCCCACCTGAACCATGCTGAGGACCTGGTGAGAGGTAATTGAGTCATGGGGGGTGGGTCTTTCCCATGCTGTTCTTGTGATAGTGAATAAGTCTCACGAGATCTGATGGTTTTACAAAGGGGAGCTCCCCAGCACATGCCCTCTCTCTTGTCTGCCATGTAAGATGTGCCTTTGCTTTTCCTTTGCCTTCTATCATGATTGTGAGTTCTCCCCAGCCATGTGGAACTGTGAGTCCACTAAACCTCTTTCTTTTATAAATTCCCTAGTCTTGGGTATGTCTTTATTAGCAGCATGAGAACAGACTAATACAACTGCCAAGAATTTTTTTTCTATATTTTGTCCAGATTGTATAGTTTTTTATCGTGGGAGGGTGAATGTGACACCAGCTACTTTGGTGTCAAGTAGCCAAGTCATGTACTAATGTGTTTTTAATGTAGAGCTATACAGTCTTCTTTCTATACTTAAATTTTTAATTAAAATATGATAATTAAAATATTACTAAAAATTTCTTAATGATTTTATTTCATGAGGGAAGAGACTTGGTCAGGAATGTGAAGTATGGCTTACAAGTATTTTCTTGCTAGCTGTGAAATAGATTGGAGGAAGTATTATCCGGTCCCCCATTTGGCAGATGCAGAACCTTGAGGTTAAAAGACATAAACAGTTTGAAGTTCACCTTATAATTGATTAGAAAGGGCAGACCTGAAACTCAGGTTCAGCATTAGACCTCCATGTCTTTGGCACAAAAACATACCATCTCTTGACTTTTGCCCTGTCTTCATAATTCCAAAGAGCCTGAGATTACTTTCAGACTATACCATTTTCCTTATTAGTAAGTAATCTGTCTGAAGGTCTGCATGAGACAGTCATAGTGTCAGCCAGAAGTCTGACATTCAAGCTCATTTCAAAGCCCCTGGAAATAGACTCTCTTCACTGCCTTCTGTGTGGACGTCCATTGCTCTGCAGTCTGAGACTTGAGTCCACACCAGGCAAACACCTCCCTAACTCCTCAGCCTCCATTCTTATCCCCACGGTCAAAGTTCAAGTCCTCAGCACCTCTCACCTGGACTGTTCCAGAAGCCTCCTCACTAGTTTCCCTACCTCTAGCCACAATCCCAACTGAGCTGTCTCCCAGAATACTGCCAAATTAACCATAAATTTCAGCTTAAAACCTTTCAGTAAATTCCTGTTGCCTTCAGGTAGAATCCTTCAGTAAATTCCTGTTGCCAACCTTCTCATCATCTGGGTCTGCCTTCACCTCCTGCCTCAAGTTCCAGGTTCCCATCTTTGCACCCCTTCTCCCGCAATTCCAAACTGATGATCGTTTTCAGAACATTTCACCACAGTTCATATTTCTGTGCATTTACAAATACTACTCTTTCTTCCTGAAATGGTTTTGCCCTCTTTCTATAACAGGGTTTCCTGAAATGGTTTTGCCTTCTTTCTATAACAGGGTTTCCTGAAATGGTTTTGCCTTCTTTCTATAACAGGAAAACTCCTGTTTATCTTTTAAAATCAGCACCTTGTCCCACCTCCCCACTCCGCCCACAAAAACAAAGAAAAGAAAGGAAGAAGGAAATACCTGATACTGGTAATTTACAATGAAAAGAAGTTGAATTGGCTTATGGTTCTGCAAACTGTACAGGGAGCATCTCCTCAGCCTCTGATGAGGCCTCAGGAAGGTTTTACTCATGGCAGAAGTCAAAGTGGGAGCAGACAGACATCTCACAAGGCAGAGCAAAAGCAAGAAAGAGAGAGTCAGGGGGAAGTGCTACACACATTTATAAATGACCAGATCTCTGAGAACTCACTTACTATGGTGAGGATAGCACCAAGCCATGAGCAATCCACCTCCATGACCCAAACACCTACCATTAGGCCCTACTTCCAACATTGGGGATTATAATTTAACATTAGATTTGGTGGGGACGTATCCAAACTATATCACTCTGCTTCAAGTCGGAGTGTCTTCCTGGAAATTAAAACTTTAATGTAGGCCGGGCATGGTGACTCACACCTGTAATCCCAGCACTTTGGGAGGGCAAGGCAGACAGATTACCTGAGGTCTGGAGTTCGAGATCAGCCTTACCAAATTGGAGAAACCCCGTCTCTACTAAAAATTCAAAATTAGCCAGATGTGGTGGCAGGTACCTGTAATCCCAGCTACTCAGGAGGCTGAGACAGGAGAATCGCTTCAACCCAGGAGGCAGAGGCTGCAGTGAGCCAGGATCGCACCATTGCACTCCAGCCTGGGCAACAAGAGTGAAACTCTGTCAAAGAAAAAAAAAGCTTTAATGTAATAGGCAGACTTCATGAAGATACATTTCATGAAGGTATTGAGTTGGGGGAGTGTACTGATTTATATATTTACCTTCAAAGCATTCTTTTGAATTATTCTGTCAGCATAGAAGACTACGTACATCCACCTCACCTCTACAGATGGGAGCAGCCACACAGCCAACTGAACACCCCATGTTTTCTCTTTGAGAAACAAACTACTTCCTGAGAGTAAGAAGTCTTCTATCCTAGAAAATTTGGTGTTAGTATCAGAAAGATAGACCAAGGCAAGAATATGCAATAAATATTGGCTTGTGCCCCACAAATGGCTGCTTTTTGGTCAGGAACGTGTGCCAGGATATTCTGTGCTGAAGGATCAGTGTCACTGCAAGTCCATGATGAATGCGCATTACTAAGCCACATACTCATAATTAATCTTCAGCGACACGTGAAGAAAACTAAATTTCAAAATGAAAAACGAATAAGTGGTAGAGCAAGAATGTGAAACAGATCATTGAATTCCAGAACCAGTGTCCTTAACTGAGAGAACACAGCATCATAGCTATTCTTTTCCTAATTGCAAGAGCCCAAGATATGCTTAAAGTGAAAAAATATATATATAAATTCACTTTCCTTTAGTGGCCTTTTTTGCTTTTTCATCTGTTCTATGAATCTTTATTCTGAGAGCTGCCTTTACTTTCTCTCTGATTGAAATGGGGCTGACAACCAAGGGACCCCACCATTCTCATCATCAGAGTAGGTGTGACTACAGATGGCCAGTCTTAGCATTCCATGCCCTGGACCTCAAGACTTGACTATGAATGTTCAAACGACCTAAGTATAGCCAGTCAGTGTCCAGATGAGTGATAAAGGCATTAATGGAGAAATAATTTCTTTCTTTCTGAGATAATGATTTCTACAAACCATTTAAGCCTGGAATTGCCTTGTAATATTATCTTCACACAAAGAGAGCTTGATGGACAATAAGCACCATCACCACCCACCCCCACCCCTACCATACACACACACATAAATGACAAATCAAAGGCAAAGAGCGATACCCCTAGGGATATTGTTAAAGAATCTAGATATAGTACTGATTAAAGCTCCAGGTCAACATCTAGACATTTTTGTTTCCTTAATCAATAAACTGCTTTTTTTTTTTTTTTTTTTTTTTTTGCTTCTACTTGTTTCAGTTTAGTTTCTATTACCTGCTCACAAAAAATGTATCTAAAAGCATATGTACAATTTAAATAATAATTATAAAGGGAACAATCAGATCAGCAACAGATTAAGAAATAGAATGTTGCCAATAATTGAAGTCCTCCATATGTTCCTCCAAGTTCATTGTCCCTCTCCTACCACCAGATGGAACACTAATCTGACTTCTGTGATCATTCCTTTTGCTCCTTTAGTTTTACTACCTATGTGCACAAACTTAAACTACATAGTTTAGTTTTAACTTGTTTTAAACTGTATAAGAATACAAGAAAGTTATATTTTATGTAATCTTTTATGGCTTGCTTCTTTAGTGCAATACTGTGACATCGTCTGTGTTGATTTGTGTAGCTCTACTTCATTTTTCTTTCTGCCTAATACTCAATTATATAACTATAATACAATCAGTTAATCTATTTTGCTGCTGATTGGTTTTTGATTGTTTTTATTTGGGGCCTATCTGATACTACAAACATCCTTTACATGTATATCTGGGCGAGAGTTTCTCTGGCATACCCTAGGAAAGGAATTGCTGTATCGTAGAATATGCATAGCTTCAACCTTCTTAGATAAAACCAAGCTGTAGATAAAGACAAGTCAAAATCATATCACTTAGAGTATATGAGTTTCCATTGCTCTAGATCCTTAGGAACACTTGATATTATGAGATACATTTTTTTCCAAAGTGATGAGTGCATAGTAATATATTATTGTGGTTTTCATTTGCATTTTCCTCATTACTAATGATGTTAAGCAGCTTTGCATATATTAACTAAACATTTGATTTTTGCTTTTATTTTGAAGTGCTCATTCCATTTTCTTGTGTATTTTTCTATCGGATTTTCTGTATGTCACAATGTTTTAGATATATGAACTTGGTCAGTTACATGTGTGGCCAACAGCTTTTCCCACTCTGGGCCAATTTTCACTCTTCTTGTGGTGTATTTTAATAAACACAACTTCTTAATTTTAAAGTAGTCAAAGTTATTAATCTTTTTTATGATTAATACTATTTGTACCATGAGTAAAAAAAATTGTTTACCCAAATTCCACAAAGAGATTTTTCTATATTATCTTCAAAGAGTTGTATAAATTTTTAAGTTTAAATGAGTTTTGGGCATAGTGAACTAGGAATACAACTGTAGTTTTTTTAAAATATGGATTCCTAATTATAGCACTGTTCATTGAAAGGTTCACTCTTTCTGCCTCATCTACGGGGCCAAAAGTCTGGATCTGTGTGGATCTCTTTGCAGGCTCTCTATTCTTTTCTATTTTTTTTCTTCATCTCTATGCCAATGCTATACTATTGTAATATCTTCATAATAAATCTTGCTAATTATTCTACCTTAGTTTTTGTCAAGAACACACAATTATTCTTGGTTGTTTGTGCTTCCATTTAAATTTTTAAACCAGCTTGTTGCATTCCACTAAAACAAGTGAGTAAACAACTACAATAATGAAAAACCCTGTTGAGATTTTGATTCTAAGTAATTTTTTAAGAATATACATCAATTAGTGGAGACTTGAATTTTTTTTTTTTTTTTTTTGAGGTGGAGTCTCGCTCTGTCGCCCAGGCTGGAGTGCAGTGGCACGATCTTGGCTCACTGCAACCTCCACCTCCTGGGTTCAAGTGATTCTCCTGCCTCAGCCTCCCGAGTAGCTGGGACTACAGGTACCCACCACCATGCCCAGCTAATTTTTGTATTTTTAGTATAGACAAGGTTTCACCATATTGGCCAGGCTGGTCTTCAACTCCTGACCTTGTGATCCACCCACCTCGGCCTCCCAAAGTGTTGGGATTACAGGCATGAGCCACTGTGCACGGCCGAGAATTGATTTTTTAAAAATTAGTTTTCCAGAGGGGAGGAGGCAAAGCAAGATAGCGGAATAGAAGGCTCCACTGATAGTCTGCCCTGCCACCACAAGGACACCAGGTTAACAACTATCTACACAGAAAAAATACCTTCATACGAACCAAAAATCCGGTGAGCCCTCATAGTACCTGGTTTTAACTTCATATGGCTGAAACAAGCACTGAAGAGATAGAAAAAAAACAGTCCTAAATCAAGTATGCCACCCCTCCTGCACCCTTCAGCAATCATGGCGTGGTGCAGAGAGCGTCTCTAGGTGCTGGGGAAGGAAGAATACAGCAATTGTGAGGCATTGAACTCAGTGCTGTCTTGTTAGAGCAGAAAGGAAAACCAGACCAAACTCCTACAGAGGCCTATGATATTTACTGAAATCAAAGAAATCCTTTTATTATTCTAGAAAGAAGTTGCAATATGACTTTAATATCTCCCCAATTTTTTTCTGTCTTGTAACCAGCTATAAAACTTTGGGTGATATTGGTCATCAGATTGAATAAGAGGAAACTTTGCAATGGTCCCCTTTTCCCCATTTATACATGCAAGAATCAGAACTTATGGGAATATTTTTAGCAATATTTTTGTGGGGGACGATGATGAAAACTTTCAGAGGAAATAATTAGCTTTTAATTAAATTTCTTGGCCCTTGACATTGTACGGTCCTTGTCTTCATCTCTTACCATGCCTGTTTCTTCTCTCTCCTCACTTGAACTCAGCCAACATTAATTTTGGAGACACTTTTCTCTGAATTATCACCTCACCTTGTCCTGCTTTGTCACTACACTCTGGATCAAGGGCATTCCTCTAAATTGGAAGATCCCCAAGTGTCTTTATATAACTCGAGTCTTTTCCTGACTCTCCTCAAGATGGCACCCAAAGCACAGGCTCCAGCCTCTTCAACTTCGCCGTCCATTACTAGAAAGACAGATCTTTTCTAAAACTCTAACACAGCTTTAAAAAAACAGAAGGCAGGCTCCCCGTAAAAGATCTAGAGAGATGGTATCACATGGTAAAAGAAAACCAAGAACTCGCCCAGAACAAAGTGCTGCAAAGAACAAGAATGACCACAAGAGGTCTTGCAAGTCCAGAGGGAGCAGATGGGGGAAACAGATAAGTCTCAGGAATGCAAGGATAATGTATTCCTAATACATCTATTCGTTCTCTGAATTCACAGATTACAAGAAAAAAAAATTTATGCTCATGCCAAAAAATAAATTGAAAAAATCCAAGTCCCGATGATGGTTAAACATTAGCAGCATAGTAAAATAGAAATAAACTTCCTATAAGAAGTAGTATATCTACCAGAAACCTTCGGCAAGCATTATACTCAGCTGTAAAAAGTCAGATGCATTCACATTAAATTCACAAACAAAAGAATGTTCACTCTCAGTGTTACCTTCAACATACTCATAGAGGTCCTTATCAGTGCATTAAGACAAGAAAAATAAACTGGACAGAAATAAATAAAAGTCATAATATTTGGAAAATATGATCCTTTATAATTTGAGGGTGGATCTAATAGACTTAGTTGATGAATTGGATGTGATAGGGACAGGTAAACAAAGATCAAGGATGATACCTAGGCTTTTGGCTTGAGCCATCAGTGTTTTTCAGAACTTTAACTGAGATAATGGAAAATGAGGGTACGGGATGAAGAGAAAATAGCTAGACAGTTTGAGATATGAGTCTAGACTTTAGAGGTTTGGGGTACAGAATGAAGAGAAGATATTAGATAGGCAGTTTAATAGATGAATCTAGACTTCAGAGCAGAGGTCAGGTCTGCAAATATAAATTTAGAAGTCATCAGAAAATAGATGGTATTCAAAGCTTTAGGCCAAATTGAAATCTCAGAAAAAGAACATTGAGAATGCTGCAAACCAACAGTTTGAGGCAAAAAAAAAAAAAAAAAAAAAAAAAAGAGAGAGAGAGAGATTTGGAAGACTAGCTCCATGAGATAAGAGGAAAGCTCAAGCTTATTATAGCATCACATAGCTGTGGGAGAGAAGTTTTTTTGGGGGGAGGGAGTGGGAAGGAGTGAGATCGAGATGTCAACATTCATATGTTATTGAATGCTGATAGAAAAATCATATAAATAAAGATGAAAAAGTAACCTTGAAATCTATCCACATGGGACTACTGGTAACCTTGACAAGGTAACGTGGCAGATGAGTTGGAAAGCGACTTAGGGTGGGTTGAGGAGATCAGGGAAGTGAGGAACTTGAGAAATCTCATGTTCAAAATGCTTTTGATCATTGTTCTTGATAAGGAAGCAGAGAAATCAAGGGATAACTAGAGGGATAAAGGACCCAGAGAAGAGCTTATTTTTTAAGGTGATGAGATACTAGAGAGTATTTTTACATTGATGTAAATAATGCAGTATGGGGAGAGAGATTATGACTTATGTGTTGGAAAGGGGGGGAAGTAAACTAAATTTAATATTACATAAAATTATAAAGTAGTTTACAAGAGAAACCATTTGGATAGAATGTGATCCATAAGTCAGCCTGACAAACTAATTTTCTATCAACTCATTTGGATTTGAAGTTTGTTCTATGCTTGACTTTTAAGAAACTTATGTGTAAAAAAATGCATATTTTTCTTTTAAAGAAATTTGGTTAGCTCAGAGTATTTTGGTGTTTTTGTTTTGTTTTGAGACAGGGTCTTACTCTGTCACCAAGGCTGGAGTGCAGTGATGTGACCACAGATCACTGCAGTCTTGACTTCCCAGGCTTCAGTGACCCTCCTACCTCAGCCTCCTGAGTAGCTGGGATCACAGGCATGTGCCACCACGCCTGGCTAATTTTCCTGTTTTGGGTAGAGACAGGGTTTCACATGTTGCCCAGGCTGGTCTCAAACTCCTGAACTCAAGCAATGAACCTGCCTTGGCCTCCCAAAGTGCTGGGATTACAGGCATGAATCACCACACCCAGCCCGAGATTGTTTTTAAATGGCAAAATATCTGGGATTTTCCCCCAGTAATGGCACCTTACTTCCGAATATATCTTTGGTATCTGGGATGTACCTATATTAACAAAAGGCTTATTATTAATAATTCATAGTTCAAAACTTTCTATGGATGAAAAAGTGCAGATTTGACTAGAATAATACAGACTGCCTATCTGCTCTCAACTCACTTGATTTAGTTTAATTTTAACCAGAAAAGGGGGCATTTTTAGTTTTCTTTTTCTTTTTTGGCTGCTCAAGCATTTGGATCCTAATTCTGTCTGGGGGCCTCCTAAAACAGTCAGATTCTTAATGGAAGATAGGCCCTTCCTATTTTTAGCCAGTGCACTAGCTAAAAATGCCAAATACATATATTCCTTCCCCTCAACCCGTGTAGCTAGACTGTAGTCAGTTCAAGTCCACGAGGCCATTGAATCTTCTGCAGATGACACTAGGAAGGTGTGAGTGTATGGAATTAACTCTGTTAGTGGCATTCAGTGGCCAGTGGCCATAGCAATAGCATTATAACCAATTCTGGTGGCGTAATTTTGACTGTATTTCTGAACATCCAGATCCTAGTTCCTGGTGGTCAGGTTTGTTTCTCCACATACTCTACCAATTATGAGAGCAATCCAAATCACATCTAATAAATTCCTACCTTGCAGAGTTAACCGAGGCTTTCCTTTTGGTTGATTGCTAACAAGATCCCTGAGTGATACACCAGATAAAACACACCTGCGGTATCCTCAGGATAACCTGAGAGCCTTTTTCTCCAAGAATGCCACCCAATTCTTGAAATTTCTGGAAGCCCAAATAGTACCTACATTTTCCCGTTTGTATTGGGTCCTACTTGGCTCACAACGGTCTAAATTATTTTTCAAAGTTCAGTATCCATTTATTGTGAAGATAAAGGTGCCTGTGTTGTGATCCCTGCATGCGATGAAAAAGTGCCATGTGGAACTGTTAGTTTGAAAAAATTCACCAAGAGGAGGCAGAAACTCATGAAATATTAGTTGTTGAAATCAAGAGTGAGAATCAGTTTTAGATTCTCATGTTTTTGGAACATTTCAAAAGACTTAATCTGGTAAAAAAAGAAATTTATATATTCTGGGATAATGATAAATATATCACTTTGCTACAATTCATCTCGGATTTTTGTCTCCTTTCTTACTGTTTTAGCTTTCCGATTTTGCTTTTGTCTTCATGCTGCACCTCATCTTCCTTCTAAGCTTTCAGACTAAACATTCCATTCCTTTACCTGTAGAAAAAAAAATGTGGTTGTGGATGTGTTCCTTTTATAGTAAGTGCTGAAAAACTATAAACTTTAAGCCAAAAGGACAATACTTCTTTCAAAACCCTTCCTTTAACAAATCACTTTGCAGAGCATTAAAAAGACCATAAAGAGACAGTACGTTTTCCCCAGCCATTGAAGGTATGATGAATGGTACAACCTGAGAGTGAATGGAAGAGCCACTTTATAAAGTTTAAAGAACCAATACTTGGGCTTAGTTATGGGCTTCACACTAACCAGAGATACAAGGCATTTTAGCCGAATGACAGTGGACCGAACTAATCCTATAAAGTGACAAGGGGAAACACTGGGACCCTCCACTGTGACATATCTTGGAGTGAAGGCTTGGCAGGAAGTCAGTCTTGCATAAACATAAAAGCCAAACTCTTTTAGAAAACATATTATCAGAGATGATTTATTTTTATATGAGAATAGTTCTTTTAAAAAATATTTTAGATCTTTTTCTTGAATATAAATATTGATTTACTAATATGACCTGTCTTTTTTCATTCTCTAGACAACAATGATTTCTTAAGAAGAGGCAAATGGAACTCAGAATAAGCAATCATAGAATACAAGCATAGAATAATTTCAATAATTTTTGCATTTGAACACAAAAAATGAGCTACTAAAAGCATAGCCCCCTTCAAGTTGTAATTCAAACACATAACATAATTTGACTTCAATAGGCAAAGCAAATGACACTTACTTGGAAATTTCTAAGGTACTTACAGAAAGTCAAGGAGAGGACTTAAAGTGAAGAAAAAATATGTCTGACTAATAGTGAATAAAATTATTATTGATGCAAAAAGCATTGTTGAATGAAATCTTTTCAGCATCTTAAATATATAATGGTCTAAAGCTTGATCACCTCAAGTTCTTTTTAGAAGCAGGCAGAGGAAAAGAGAGAAAGAATGAATATAAGAACATTTACATCCAGAGTATACAACTCCAGAAGATAGAATTTATTCCTGTTTCATCTTTGTGTGCACTTTTCCCCATGGTTAACCAGTGCATTGCACTAGAAGGCTCAGTGTTTGTTGAATAAATAATCCCAGAAATAACTAGAAAATAGTGCAGAACAGTGAAGAGAGAGCTTAAGTAGAGATCAGGAAAGATACAGCATCTTCTTCCTTTCTTTACTATGTTGAGATACTCTCTGAGCATTGTTTTCCTTATTTGAAAAATGAAGAGTCAAAATGCCTTAAGTACCTTTCAGTTCAGAAATTCTTTGCTTTGAGAGTAAATATACTTAAGATTGAGTGCTAGAATTCAGAATTTTGCAGTGCAAGTTAAAAAATAATTCTATCTTTGGGGAGAAAAAAAATGGGGTTATATTTTATTTATTTTTTATACTCTGTCAGTAGACTAAAGGGGGTCTTTAATTAGTAAAATTGTACATTTCAATATGTTCATGCTTGCACACAGAAAGGTGCTGAGTACCTGCCATGGCTGTACTGCAATGTCTATTGTAAATGTTAGCTCTTTGGGGGGCAAGCATACCCACATTCATATGGCATTTCCTAAGCCTGTTTTCCTTCTCAGGGTTAAACTCACTGATGCAAACTGCCCAGCTGTGTTTTAATTAAACTTCTACTCCCACTTTCCTTTGGGCTTTTCAATCATATACGCTTCTCTTTCCCCTCTTTTCCCCATAGTCTTCTCTCTCTTTTCCCTAAACTCCCGCCACATAGGCCTGTGGTGAGGAGAGCTGACAATAATGAGGCCCCAGGAACTGGTACAAAGCCTGCTGTAAAACTTTTTAAATTAAACCCTTGAGATTTTAAGAGTTTGTAATTAGAATGCATGGTTTGAAATGAATTAACATAACCCTGCCATCTAGCTGGCATAACCCAGTGCCCATGAGTCTACTGATCTCTGGGTGCTTAAGCCCTGGCAGAGCAGACTGTTTCTAACCATTGACCATCCTGTCCCAAAAGTGGGCAATGTCTTCTTTGAACCTTTTGGGAAGTGTCCCAAATTCTCCTCCTATTGAACTGTTAGAATGTGCTTAATTTTCCACTGTAAGAATAGGTTGCTTTGATGAGTATCTATTGGGATAAGTTTTTGCCTTTGTGAAATTTCTTCAAAATAGATTCCCAGAAGTAGGATTAGAGTGGGAAGGGTAGAAATATATTAAGGGCTCATCATAGATGCCAAATCCCTTTCTTTTCACTCATCCATACAAACAAATACTTATTGAGCACCTGCTGTGTACCAGGTACTCTTCTAGGTGCTGAAATTTGGTTGTGAACGAGATAGGTGAAGTTTCTGATATCGTGGAATACTACTTTACTGGTTAAGGAAGACAATCAATAAGTGGGCAAAAAATACATAATATAATTATAAATGGTAACAAAAGCTATAAAAACATATAAAATGGAACGATAGAGAATAGGGGTTGGCTTCTGTCCTTTTGCAGTCCATACAATTTATCAGGAAAATTGGTCAGCTTTTCCTTCTAAGTACGTAGAGAACTTAATATCTTCTCTACCTCTGTATTGTTATCTCCCTAATCCAGGTCACCATCATCCTTTGCTTGGACTTTTGCAAGAGTTTCTTAATTGATCTTCCTGCTACCATATTACCCCCCATAGTCTGTTCTCCCCACAGCAGTCAGAATGATTCTTTTAAAGTGTAAGTCAAGTCATATAACTCAGCTGCAGAACACTTCCAATAGCTCCCTTCTCTCTCAGTGTAAAATCTGTCATTTCCATGGCTTGTAGAAGAATCTGCGGCCTGGACACTGCTGCTTCTCTAAACTCATCTCTACCATTCCCCTCCCCAGCTGCAATCCTTTCAAATTTCAAGCATGACACTTCCTCAGTGACTTTGCACTTGCTGTACCCTCTGTTTGGAATATGGTTTCCCCATATATATCTCACTCCTTCAGTTCTTTGCTCAAATATTACCTTTTCATAGAAATAGTCATTAACCATCCCAAATAAAATAGTGTGGCATTCCCATGTCTCTCTTTATCCTACTTTCTTTCTCTTCATGGCACTTATCGTCACTTGACATATTTATTTGTATATTTTGTTTATTGACTGTTTTTACCCACTAAAATAGAAACTTCATAGATCAAATACTTTATCTGTGCTGTTCACTGCTATATCCCCAGTATCTAAATTGATACCTGGCACATAGGTAATGGCTCAATATTTGTTAAATTAATGAAGAAATTAATGACTTTGTTTGAACCTGGTGAGAGATTTCTTGGAATATGCTGTGAGTCTAGACCATGTGTCCTATCCAAGTTGTTTTTAATTTTTATCAATGTCATGGATCAAGAAATAGTAGAGGCCCAACAAACTATATGCTGTCTTGGAGTCCAGCAGTGCTGGAGCTGGGGCTCAAGAGAAGTGCAGGCTGTGTCCCCAAGATCTAGGCGTGAGTGACCCTGGGCTATCACACCTGGGGCTAAGGTGCAGTGCTGCTGGGACTGAGGTGCAAGTGGTGCACACATTCCCCATCCATTGGCCTATGCTGTTGCCAATGAAGGCAGAACTACCCTCCCCAGTGGCAGGATAACAGCACAGTTGTTTCTTCCCCCAATGCAAGCATTCCACCAGTGGCCTGCGGATCACCCAACCCCTTTGTACCTTGGGTGGCTCCTCCACACGCCACTGGAGGCCTGAGGACAAGCTCATCTGACCCAGATTTACCCCCTCTCCATAAAAGAGCACATAGTCTAGGGGCCAGGGGATTTCCCAACTTGGTTCACCACCATCGGAACCTAAACACTCCTCCCAGGGGCCTACTCACCAAAATGAGAATACCACAACTGGCACTTATCTGCATGTGCCACCTGCAAGCCTAAAGACTGGCCCATGCAGCCCATTGCAGCCACCACCAACACCAGCACATACTTCTCAAGACCCAGAGGATTGTTCTGCCACTGACTCTACCTTTGCCCATGCCATACTGGTTGCCTAGAGGTCCAAGAACCTGCCACCCACCTTGCCCAAAGTTGCCACTACCAGCATATGAGTAAGCTTCCAGAAGGCCCAAGGGTTAGCCTGACTGTACCCACTAATACTAGTGCCAGTTTACACTGCCCCCCGGTGCCCAAGAACAGGCATGCTCAGCCCAACACTGGTACCAATGGTGCTGGAAAACTGGCCTACTTGGCTTCCCAGTCCCCAGCAGAACTTCACCACAGTTTCCAGCTGTACCCTAAGCCACCAAGGAGATCACAGATACCACTGATGCTGTTGAAAGCTACACTACTGCATGCACCCAGAATCAAACCCAAAACATTCTACCCAACAAACACCATAGATACATCTTCAAGAAAGTTTTCCTTTATAAAAGCAAATTCAACAAGTTGGAAGAAACTAATATTATTTCAGATATGTCAATATCAATGTAAGAACACAAGAAACATGAAAAATCAAGGAAATATACACCTCCAAAGGAACAGAATAACTCTCCAGCGATAGATTACAATAAAAAACAAATGAATGAAATCATGGGAAAAGAATTCAAAATTTGAATATTAAAGAAGCTCAGTGGAATACAAGAAATTTCTGAAAAATTACAAAGAAATCAGAAAAACAATTCAGGATATGAATGAGTAATTTGCCAAAGATAGAGATAATAAAAAAATAGCCAACCAGAAATTCATAAACTGAAGAATTCATTTAATGAAATACAAAATATATTCAAAAGCTTCAACAAAAATAGACTAGATCAAGCAGAAGAAAGAATCTCAGAACTTGAAAGCAAGTCTATTGAAATAACACAGCCCAACAAAAATACAGAAAAAAGAATAGGCAAATTCTTCATAGTATATGAAACACCATAAAGTGGCCAAATTTTGAATTACTGGGGTCTCAGAAGGCAGAGAGAGAACAAAAGGATTAGAAAACTTATTCAACATAACAATACATAACAACTTCCCAAATCTAGCAAGAGATTAAGGCATCTAGATACAACAGGCTCTGAGATCCCCAAACAGATACAATGCAAAAAAGTTTTCATGAAACATTACAGTCAAAATGTCTACAGTAAAATACACAGAAAGAATTCTAAAAACAGCAAGAAAAAACATATAGTCACCTTTAAAGGAACCCCCATCAGACTAACAGTGAATTTCTCAGTAGAAGCCTTTCTGCCAGGAAAGAATGAGATGATATATTCAAAGGGCTAAGAAAAAAATATATATATTGCCAACAAAGGATCTATTTCCAGCAAATTATCCTTCATAAATGAAGGAGAAATAAAAAAGTCTTTCCCAAAGAAGCAAAAGCTGAGAAAATTCATCACCACTTAACTGGTCCTCCAAGAAATGCTCAAGGCAGTCCTAAACCTGGAAGAAAAAGACAGCATTTACCATCACAACAACACAACGAAGTATAAAACTCACTGGTAAAACAAACACACAAATGAGGAAGAGAAAGAACTCACACAGTACCACCATACAAAACTACCAAACCACAATGACAAACAATAAAAGAAAAAGAAAGGAATGAAGAATATACAAAACAACCAGAAAACAATGAACAATATGACAGAAACAAAACTTCACATCTGGCCAGGTGTGGTGGCTCATGCCTGTAATCCCAGCACTTTGGGAGGCTGAGGCGGGCAGATCACCTGAAGTCAGGAGTTTGAGACCAGTCTGGCCAACATGGTGAAACCCTATCTCTACTAAAAAAAAATACAAAAATTAGCCAGGCGTGGTGGCACGTGCCTGTAATCCCAGCTACTTGGGTGGCTGAGGCAGGAGAATCACTTGAACCTGGGAGGCGAAGGTTGCAGTGAGCCGATATCATGCTACTTCACTCCAGCCTGGGCAACAGAGTGAGACTCTTGTCAAAAAAAAAAAAAAAAAAAAAAAAAAACAACTTCGCATATCAATAATAACCTTAAATGTAAATTGATTAAATTCTCCACTTAAAAGATACAGACTGGCTTAATTGATTAAAAGAAGTATATATGATCCAACTATGTGCTGCCTACAAGAAACACATTTTACTTGTAAAGACACACACAGACTGAAAGAAAAAGGATTGAAAAAGATATACCATGCAAACCTAAACCAAATGTGAGCAGAAGTTGATTTACTTATATCAGATAAAAGAGACTTTAAGTCAAAAATAGTAAGAAAAGGCAAAGAAGGTCATTATATAATGATAAACAGATCGATTCGGCAAGAAGATATAATAATTTTAAATATACATGCACCTAGCATTGCAGTACCCAGATTCATAAAGCAAATATTACTAGATCTAAAGTGTTGTGGGAAGTCAGGGACCCCGACTGGAGGGACTGGCTGAAGCCATGGCAGAAGAACATAAATTGTGAAGACTTCATGGACATTTATTAGTTCCCCAAGTTAATACTTTTATAATTTCTTAAGCCTGTCTTTACTACAATCTCTGAACATAAATTGTGAAGATTTCATGGACATTTATCACTTCCCCAATCAAAACTCTTGTGATTTCCTATGCCTGTCTTGTCTTTAATCTCTTAATCCCATCATCTTTGTAAGCTGGGGATGTATGTCGCCTCAGGACCTGTGATGATTGCTTTAACTGCACAAATTGTTTGTAGAGCATGTGTGTTTGAACAATATGCAATCTGGGCACCTTAAGAACAGGATAACAGTGATTTTCAGGGAAATAGGGAGATAACCTTAAAGTCTGGCTGCCTGTGGGCCGGGCAGGACAGAGCCATATTTCTCTCCTTACCAAAAACGGGTAAGAGAAATATCGCTGAATTCTTTCCCTAGTAAGGAATATTAATAATTAACAGCCCTGGGAAAAGAATGCATTTCCAGGGGGGCCTCTAAAATGGCCGTTCTGGGGGTGTCTGCCTTATGCAGATGTAGATAGGGATGAAACACGCCCTAGTCTCCTGCAACGCCCCCAGGCTTGCTAGGATTAGGAAATTCCAGTCTGGCAAATTCTAGTTAGACAAGTTCTCTGCTCTTGAACCCTGTTAAGATGTTTATCAGTGACAGTGGGTGCACAGCAGGACATGGAAGTTCATTAGTGATTCTAGTTTTGCCCTGAACTTGTGATCTTGCCCTGCTCATCTGCCTTGTGATCTTTTGTTGCCCTTAAAGCATGTGATCTCTGTGACCCACACCCTATTTGTACACTCCCTCCCCTTTGAAAATTGCTAATAAAAACTTGCTGGTTTTACCGCTCAGGGGGCATCACGGAACCTGCCGACATGTGATGTCTCCCTCTGACACCCAGCTTTAAAATTTCTCTCTTTTGTACTCTTTCCCTTTATTTCTCAGACCAGCCGACACTTAGGGAAAATAGAAAAGAACCTATGATGAATTATCAGGGGTTGGTTCCCCCAATACTAAAGAGAGAGATAAATTCCAGTACAACAACAGTGAGGGACTTCAACACCCCACTCTAAGCATTAGACAGGTCATCTAGATGTAAAATCAACTAAAAAATATTGAATTTAACTGGACTATAGAACAAATGGACCTAACAGACACACCTACAGAACATATTATTCAACAACTGCAGAATACGCATTTTTTTCTACTCAGCATGTGGAACATTTTTCAGGATAGATCATATTTTCAGCCACAAAAGAAGAAGTCTCAACAAATTCTTAAAACTTGACATTATATTAAGTATTTTCCCATACAACAGTGGAATAAAACCAAAAATTAATACAAAGAACAACTTTGGAAGCTATACAAATACCTAAAAATAAAACAACATGGTCCTGACTGAAGAAATAAAAATGGAAATAAAAACATTTATTGAAACAAATAAAAATGGAAACACATGATGCCAAAATCTGTGGAATACAACTAAAGCAGTACTAAGAGGGAAATTTATACCAATAAACATCTGCATCAAAAGAAGTAGAAAGTTTTCAATTAAACAATGTAATGATGCACCTCAAAGAATTATTATAGAAAAGGAAGAACAAACCAAACCCAAAATTAGCAGAAGAAAAGAAGCAATAAAGATAGGATGAGAACTAAATAAAATAGAGACTAAAAGACAAGGATCATTAAAACAAAAAGTTCTTCAGAAAGATAAACACAACTGACAAACCTGTAGCTAGACTAACCAAGAAAATAAGAGAGAAGGACTAAATAACAAAATTAGAAATAAAAAAGGAGACATTACAGCTGATACCAAAGAAACATAAAAGATCATCAGAGATTATTATGAGTAACTATACACTAATAAACTGGAAAGCCTAGATAAAATAGATACATTCCTGGAAACATACAAACTACCAAGATTGAATCAGGAAAAGATAGAAAACTTGAACAAACCAATAATGAGTAGTGACATTAAATCAGCAATAAAAAGACTCCCAACAAAGAAAAGCACAGGACAAGATGGACTCACTTTCAAATTCTATAAAGAACTAATATCAATCCTCCTCAGACTATTCCAAAAAATCAAACAACGTGGAATTCTCCCTAACTTACTCTAGGAGGTGAGCATTGCCCTGATACCAAAACCAGACAAGTACACACACACAAAAAGAAAACTACAGACCAATACCCCTGATGAACATAGACACATAAATTCTCCACAAAATACTAGTAAAATGAATTTAACAGCATGTCAAAAAGATAGTACCCCATGAGCAAGTGGGTTTCATCCCAGGGATACAAGGACGGTTTAACATATGCAAATGAATAAATGTGACACATCACATGAACAGAATGAAGGGCAAAAACTATATGATCATTTCAATAGATGCAGAAAAGGCATTTGATAAAATTCAACATCATTTCATTATAAAAACTCTCAACAAACTAGGTATAGAGGGAACATACCTCAAAATAATAAAGGCCATATATATGACAAACCCACAGCCAACATCATACTGAATGGCAAAAAGTTGAAAACCTTTTCTCTAAGAACTAGAACAAGACAAGGATGCTCACTTTCACTACTCCTATTCAACATAATGCTAAAAATACTATTTCCCCTAGACAGAGAAATCAGACAAGAGTAAAAAATAAAAGGCATTCAAATTGGAAAAGAGGGAGTCAAATTGTCTCTCTTTGCACATGAAATAATCTTATATTTAGAAAAAAAAGATTCCACCTAAAAATGATAAGCAAATTCAATAAAGTTGAAAAATATAAAATCAACATATAAAAATCAGTAGCATTTCTATAACCAATAATAAAACAGCCAAAAGAGAAATCAAGAAGACAATCCCATTTACAATTGCTACCAAAAAAAAAAAATACCTAGGAATAAATTTAACCAAGCAGGTAAAAGATCTCTACAAGAAAAACTGTAAAACACTGTTAAAATGAATTAAAGAAGACATAAACAAATAGACATCCCATGCTCATGGATCAGAAGAATCAATATTGTCAAAATGACCAATGAAATATCCAGATTCAATAAAATCCTTATTAAAATACCAATGTCATTTTTTACAGAAATAGAAAACAAAATTCTAAAATTCATATGGAATAAAAAAAGAGCCAGTATAACCAAAACAATCCTGAGCAAAAAGTACAAAGCAGAAGGCATCACACTACTTGACTTCAAAATATAGTACAAGGTTATAGTAACCAAAAAGCATGGTATTGACATAGAAATAGACACAGAAACTAATGGAAGAGAATAGAAAACCCAAAAATAACTCTACATATTTACAGCCAACAGACTTTCAACAAAGTTGCCCAGAACATACACTGAGGAAAGGATACCTTCTTTAATAAATAGTGCTGAAAAAAATGGGATATTCACATGCAGAAGAATGAAACTGGACCCTTATCTTCCACCTTATATAAAAATCAATTCAAAATGGATCAAAAACTTAAAAGTAAGACCTTAAACTATAAAACCACTAGAAGAAAACAAAGGGAAAATACTCCAGGATATTTGTTTAGGCAAAGATTTTATGGCTGAGACCTCAAAAGCAGAGAAAACTAACACAAAAATAGACAAATAGCACTATAGTAAACTAAAAAAGTTTTTGCACAGTGAAAGAAACAATTAACAAAGTGAAGAGACAAACTGTTGAATGGGAGGAAGTAGTTGCAAACTATTCATCCAACCAGGGACTAATATCCAGAATATGCAAGGAATACAAACAACTCAACAATAAAAAAAAACAAATAATTCAATTAAAAAGTGGGCAAATGACATGAATAGACAATTTTCAAAGGAAGACACACAAAAGCCAACAAGCATATTAAAAAATGCTCAACATCTCTAATCATCAGAGAAATGCAAATCAAAACCATGATGAGATATTATCTCATCCTAATGAGAATGGTTATTCCTAAAAAGACAAAAAATAAATAAATAAAAACAGATGCTGGCAAGGATGTATAGAAAAGGGAATACTTAACAATCGCAAAGGTATGGACTCAATCTAATTGTTCATCAGTGGGTGAATGGATAAAGAAAATGTGGTATATATACACAATGAAATACTATTTGTTCATAAGAAAGAATGAAATCATGTCATCTGCAGCAACATGGATGGAAATAAAGGTCATTATGTCAGGTGAAATAATCCAGGCACAGAAAGACAAATACCACATGTTCTTACTCATATGTAGGAACTAAAAACCTTGATCTCCTGGAGGTAGACAATAGACGGGTAGATATGACACCAGAGTTTGGGAGGGTGTGAGAGTGGGTGGAGGGAGAAAGGAAAAGAGGTTCATGAAGAAGCACAAACTTACAGTTAGATAGAGGAAATAAGTTCTAATTTTCAATAGCAGACTAGGATGACTATAGTTAACAACAACATATTGTATATTTCAAAGTAGCTAGAAGAAAGAACTTGAAATGTTACCAACATGCAGAAATGACAAATACTCAGTATGATGGATACCCCAAATACCCTGACTTGATGTTACATGTTCGATGCACATTAAAAATGCTCACATGTACCCCCATAAATGTGCAAAACACTATGTACCAATAAAAGGAAAAAAGAAATAGTAGAGGGTCTCACAAGCATTGTATACATGATTTGTTAGCAGAATCATGTTCAGCAATGCTTTTCAAACCGCAGGTCACTAACAATCAGTAGTCTGTGAAGGTAGTTTAGCAGGTTGTGATCAGCTTCTTGTTAACAAAAGAGAATTCATCCAGGCTGGAACAAAATAGAATTGAATTGAAAAAAATACTTTCTCACATGTAATATGGCTGAGTGTTGTTTTGTGAAAGTTCGTTTTAATTATATGTAAATGGGCTTTTTGAGCACATAATGAAATATGATATAAAAAGTATTTGTTATTATAGGTCACAGTGTTTTAAAAAAAACCAATGGCCTACAATATTGATTCTCAGGAATCCACCCAAAATTTCCAGGAAATAAAAATACCAGAAGAAAACAATGAACTGGAAAAACAATGAAAGAGAAGCAAAGAGAGAACCAATGACCAAAGAGTTGTTCCTTTGAAAAAAGTCCATAAATTAATAGTGACTAGCCATATCGGCCAAGATAAAAAGAGAGAAGACACAAATTATCAATTTTAGGAATGAAGGTTAGAAAATTATTTCAGATCCTTCCTAGTCATTTATAAACATAAAAATAAATCATACATGTGTCATACATGGCACAGCAGCAATACTCACTGAAGAAGAAATAGGTATCTTGAATAAGCTACTATACATTAAAGAAATTGAATTTGTGGCTTACAATTCTCAAAGAAAAATCTTCAAGTCCAGCTGGCTGTACTAACACGTTTTTCCTAACATTTCAGAAAAATGTAATATAATTATACACAATTTTTTCCATAAGATAAAAGGGGAGGGAATGACACCCAGCTCATTTTATAAACTCAGCATTACCTGATATTAAAAACAAAGACATTATAAGAAAACTACAGACGAAATATCCCTCACAGCATAGATATGAAAATATTCAATCGAATGCTAGCACTTACAATCCAACAATATGTAAAAAAAAGATAATATATCATTACCAAGTGAGGTTTATTTCATCGTGAAAAGATAGTTAAGCATTCAAAAGTTAATTAAATTAGTTCACCACATCAGTAGACAAAAGAAGAAAAACATTGCTCATCTCAAAAGATGCAGAAAATCACTGGACAAAATTTGAAATCCAACCATAACAAAAATTCTCATCAATTAATAATAGAAAGGAACTTCCTCAAACTGAGGGAGAGTATCTACAAAATGGGCTGCTAACATCAGAGTTAATGCTAAAAGACCAAATGTTTTGCCCCTAAGATCAGGAATAAGGACGAGAAGTCCATTCTTACCACTCTTTTTAGACACACTGAAAATTCTAAGTGCAATAAGAGAAGAAATTCAAAAAAAAAAAAAAAAGACCTACAGATTAGAAGAAGTAAAAATGTTTCTCTTTGCAGATGACATGATTGTATGTTTAGAAAATTGTAAGAATCTACAAGAAAGGTATTAGAACTAATTAGTAAATTTAGCAAGGTCAATAGTTAGAAGGCCAATGTATATTTAATACACAAAATCACATTTCTGTCTACATTCTATATACTACCAGTAGAAACTGAAAATTTTCAAGCAGTGCTATTATAATAATAAGAAAAATAAGAAACACTTTGGTATAAATTTAACAAAATATGTTTATACAAGTGTACAATCTGCATATTGAAAACTCCAAAACGCCAGTGAAAGAAATCAAAGGCCTAAACAAATACAAGATGTTCGTTATTCAAGATTTGCAAGTCTCAACATTGTTATATTAATTTATTAACGTTAATCATAAATTAACCTTCCATAGATTCCATGCAATCTTACAAAAAATCCCAGCAATATTCTTTTTGGAGAAATTGACAAGTTAATTCTAAAATTTTTATGGAAAAAAATCAAAGGAATTACAAGAGCTGATATAATTTTGAAAAGAACAAAGCCCAAGGACTTAATTATTTCATTTCAAGACACATTAATCAAGATGTATAGATCAAGATTAAAGTATAAAGCTACATTAATCAAAACAATGTCATATTGGTGAAAGGACAGACACATAAATCACTGTAACCAAACAAAGTCCAGATAAAGACTCACATATAAATTATCAATTAATATTTGATAAAGGTACAAAGAAAACTCAGTGCAGAAAAGAGAATTTTTTTAACAGATGGTCTGAAAAAATTGAACATCCATTTGCAAAATTTTTTAAATCTTGACCCATACTTCACACCATATGTAAAAATTAAATAAAAATGAATCATAAACTGAAGTGTAAGAAAAAATAAAAATTCAGAAGAAATCATAAGACCACAAATTGATACCTTGGATTAAACAAAGACTTATTAGATATGAAATCTAATCTCAATCATGAAGATAAAATTGATAGTGATTCATCAAAGTTAAGAACTTCTGCTCTTGTAAGACACTGTTCAGAACCTTAGAAGACAAGCTGTACACCAGGAGAAAATATTTGCAAAAGGCATTTCTGATGAAGAACCGGTATCCGAGATTTCTGCCTCTCTTCCCAGTGGGGTCACAACCTTCAGCCCACTCAGGATACTGGCAACAGCTGAGGTACTAAGTATTGGTAAAAAACTGAATGAGGGTAAAACAAAGTCCATAAATTATTAGATAGTCCAGAAAAAATCCTCCTGCAGTTCAAGGACCAGATAACAGCAGGAAATGCAGTTAGAAAGAATCACCTGGGCCAGGTGCGGTGGCTCAGGCCTGTAATCCCAGCACTTTGGGAGGCCGAGGCGGGCGGATCATGCGGTCAGGAGAGACCACCCTGGCTAACACAGTGAAACCCCGTCTCTACTAAAAATACAAAAAATTAGCTGGGCATGGTGGCGGGCGCCTGTAGTCCCAGCTACTTGGGAGGCTGAGCCAGGAGAATGGCGTTAACCCGGGAGGCGGGGCTTGCAGTGAGCCAAGATCGTGCTACTTCACTCGTGCCACTGCACTCCAGCCTGGGCGACCGAGCGAGACCTGCCTCAAAAAAAAAAAAAAAAAAAGAAAGAATCACCCGGAAGTAAAAGGTAAAAGCTGCAATCTCAAATAAAATTACCAGTTGTGTTTTTCAGTTGTTACAGGAAGCAAGTGTCAAAACTGCTTTCACCAGAAAATGTGGGGAAACAGACAGCTTTTGCTGCTCCCGAGTGTGAAATGATTCCAACTGAATGGGTTTGCAGAAGAATAGCAACTGATTCTTTTTTCAAAAGAAATCCTGATGACAAGGAAGGATATAAGTTTTACCCACCTAAAGTGGAGATGTTTTTCAAGGATGATGCCAGTAATGACCCAGAGTCATCTGAGGAACAGCTAATTGCTCCAAAATTTTGCTTTGGTGAACTTCTCATAGGCCAAACTGAAGTGGATATCATGTCATATACTACATAGGCTCTTTTTTGAAATACTGGAGAAATCTTGGTTGCCCCAGAACTGTATGCTGGTTGATATGAAGATCAAATTTGGTGTTGATGTAACCCCTAAAGAAATTGTTCTTGCTGATGTTATTGATAATGATTCCTGGAGACTCTGGCCATCAGTAGATGGAAGCCAACAGAAAGACAAACAGCCTCATCAGGACCTCAAAGAAGTAACTCCTGAAGGGCTCAAGATGGTTATAGAAAAACTTAGAGTGGGTTGCAGAGAGAGAAGAGTTGCTTTTGAAATTAGAAAGTCCGTGCGGGATGGCAGTATTGGTAGGCTCTACTTCTGATCTTGGCCACTGTGAAAAAATCAAGAAGGCCTGTGGAAATCTTGGCATTTCCTGAGAACTTCAAGTAACATCTGTGCATAAAGGACCAGATAAAACTCTGCGGATTAAAGGTGAGTGTGAAGGGGATGGCATTCCCACTGTGTTTGTGGCAGTGGCAGGCAGAAGAAATGGTTTGGGACCAGTGACGTCTGGGAACACTGCATATCCAGTTATCAGCTGTCCTCCGCTCAAGCAGACTGGGGAGCTCAGGATGTGTGGTCTTCTCCTCGACTACCCAGTGGTCTCAGCTGCTCAACCACCCTTTCTCCAGAAGGATCAGCTCAGTTTGCTGCACAGATATTTGGGTTAAACAATCATTTGCTGTGGGGCAGACTGTGAGCAAGCGTTTTGAACACATGGATTTTCTTGAAGCAGGTTGACAAGGAAATCAGAGAACGTAATTTATAAGAAAGATTGTCATTGCTTTTTTTAGGGGGGAACTACAAATGTTTAGCTGCAGGAAAATCAAGCAAGATGAAAAGATGATGCTAAATTAGAGAACACAAATACAATGTATTAGTGAATAAATGCTTTTCCAGATCCATAGGTATGTAGAATATCTGTTCATATTTATTAATATCTCCTTATGAGCAGAGAAGTTACTATAAGGACATTTTCAAATTACTCTCCTGTCCACTGTATGGTCATTGTTAGGTGATAATATAATTAAAGAAATATCTTTTATAAATGCTAATAATGTTCTATTATAAAGCTCTAGAGTTATTACCTGACCTTCTGTATGTCAATCCATAAGTTTTAGAAAGTAAAACTGGCTATATTTTAGGTGATAAGAGCAATATAATTCTCATTCACTCTGTGGTCTTCACAAAATTCTAAGGGTATAGTTCTAAATTTTCAATTAGTATTTCAGAAAGTGATTTCTATTTACATGTATATCTATAGATACGTTTTGATTTTCTTTTAAGGAAAAGTTGAGATTGGGTAGAAAACAAGGTAGAGGAACACTGTTGGACCCACGGAAAGGGGACTTTTCTGAGACTTTCTCTGTTGGTTTTTAGAGCAATTTTCCATGGAAACAGTAGAGTTACCTTTGCCATGCCAAATGAAGATTTAGCGAATCTTACTTGGCTATGTAACAACAACAACAACAACAACACTCAATCATAAAATGAACAATTTGATTTTTAAGATGTTCAAAATATTTTATTAGACATTCTACCAAAGAAGATATGCAGATGGCAAATAAACACAGGCAGAAATACTCAATATCATTTGTGGGAAAAGCTGTCTTCTTTATATTTTCCCATATTTAATTTTTTTCTACTATTAGTAATATTGTATATTACTTCTATCAGAAAAAAATAATTTTAGAATTAGTATGTTCAATTTTATAATCATGCTTGTATTTTTTTAAATCATGAAGAGCAAACATTGCTGAGAAAATGACACCTATTCTTATGGATGATGGTTTTTTTTTCATTTTTTCACATTTTCAACTTTCATTTAGTGAACATATGTCACTTTTTATCCTAAAAAATTTTTTAAAATCAATTTTACAAGCATGGGATAGGAAAACTCTGTCTTGTTAATAAATGAAGTGAAAAATCTCTGTACCTTTAGTTGTTCATAAGTTGAAAATGAGTAACGTGATATATCTTTAAACACAAACTTCCATGTTAGCTACATTAGTAATGCTTCTTTCCCAGGAACTAATAATCCCCAAGCATATTCCCTTTTCATATCATCTCTGAAATAATCCATGCTATTCTGGGCACCATTTCAACAAGCATGTTGACCAGTTCAAGCTCACCCAGAGGAAAAGACCCAAGGCGAATATTCAGGAAAGAATGTGATATCAGAAACTCTAAGGCATCAAAGTCTGAGGAAAAATATGAAGATATTCTCTAAATACTTTCGAGGCTGGCATTTAAAAGAAAGAGAATGTCTTCTCTGAATTATCAGAAAACGGACTTCTATCAATTGTTAAGAATATCGTTGCCAAATATACATTCAAGAACCAGGAGAATGACAACCATATGGGTTCAGGGAACTGTTTGACCTATTTTGAGGCAAACTGGACAGGATCCAATTTGTTTCTTGAGTCTCAGGAGCCCTTTCTCTGATAGGGGGAAGCAGTGGTAATTGGTCATCCTCGGGAAATAGTATTTCCTCAGAGGCAGCATCCAGTAGTTCCTGAAAGTCTGGGGCATTTTTTCACAGCTATTTAAACCAAGTAAGTAGTACTAGAACCCTTTGGCGAAGGCTTGGAAGAAGGTTCATGTACCTCATTTGTGGTTATTATAGCAGTATTTATCCCTGAAGTAACCTAGTCTCCTTCATTGGAGGGATCTGGGTCTAATGGAACCATTTCTGGGAATTAGGTAAAGGACCATAATTCTGTCGTTGTGGCTCAACAGACCTCTGTTCATTGGGACTCGTATGTGTTCTAAAAATATAGCAAGGCTGTAATGGTATGCCTATTTTTTTTTTTTTTTTTGAGATGGAGTTTCACTCTATCACCCAGGCTGGAGTGCAGTGGCACAATCTCAGCTCACTGCAACCTCTGCCTCCCAGGTTCAAGCGATTCTCCTGCCTCAGCCTACTGAGTAGTTGGGACTACAGGCATGTGCCACCATGCCCAGCTAATTTTTGTATTTTTAGTAGAGATGGGGTTTCACCATGTTTGCCTGGCTGGTCTTGAACTCCTGATCTCAGGTGATTTGCCCACCCTGGCCTCCCAAAGTGCTGGTATTACAGGCATGAGCCACCGCACCCAGCCTATTTCATTTTTTTAAGACCCAGAATTGTGGTGTGTTTTTGGCACATGGAGTTAAATGGAATCAAATACATAGAAAACACATAATATTTCTGAGAGAATTATATTGGCAAAAGTGTCAGCAGCCTGGTCTTAAAAAAGCTGAGGCTGCACATGTATACATATGTAACAAACCTGCACGTTGTGCACATGTACCCTAAAACTTAAAGTATAATAATAATTTTAAAAAATTACTGGCTGACTCTCTTTTTGGACTCAGCCCACCTGCATCCAGGTGAAATAAACAGCTTTATTGCTCACACAAAGCCTGTTTGGTGGTCTCTTCACATGGACGCGCATGAAATTTGGTGCCGTGACTTGGATCGGGGGACCTCCCTTGGGAGATCAATCCCCTGTCCTCCTGTTCTTTGCTCCGTGAGAAAGATCCACCTACGACCTCAGGTCCTCAGACCAACCAGCCCAAGGAACATCTCACCAATTTTAAATCAGGTAAGCGGCCTCTTCTTACTCTCTTTCTCCAACCTCTCTCACTGTCCCTCAACCACTTTCTCCTTTCCACTCTTCATTCTCTCCCTTCTCTTAATTTCAATTCCTTTCATTTTCTGGGAGAGACAAAGGAGACACATTTTACCAGTGGGCCCAAAACTCCGGCGCCAGTCACAGACTGGGAAGGCAGCCTTCCCTTGGTGTTTAATCATTGCAGGGAAGCCTCTCTGATTATTGACCCACGTTTCAAAGGTGTCAGACCACGAAGGGATGCCTGCCTTGGTCCTTCACCCTTAGCGGCAAGTCCCGCTTTTCTGGGGAAGGGGCAAGTACCCCAACCCCTTCTCTCCTTGTCTCTACCCCTTTTCTGCTTTTCTGGGGGAGGGGCAAGTACCCCTCAACCCCTTCTCCTTCACCCTTAGCGGCAAGTCCCGCTTTTCTAGGGGGCAAGATCCCCCAATCCCTTATTTCCATGCCCCAACCTCATATCTCTGCGCCCCAATCCCTTATTTCTGTGCCCCAACCTCTTATCTCTGTGCCCCAATCCCTTATTTCCATGCCCCGACCCCCCTTCCTGCTTTTCAGGAGGGTAAGAACCCCCAAACCCCTTCCCTCCATGTCTCTACGCTCTCTTTTCTCTGGGTTTGCCTCCTTCACTATGGGCAACCTTCCACCCTCCATTCCTCCTTCTTCTCCCTTAGCCTGTGTTCTCAAAAACTTAAAACCTCTTCAACTCACACCTGACCTAAAACCTAAATGCCTTATTTTCTTCTGCAATGCCGCTTGACCCCAATACAAACTCGACAGTATTTGTCCAAATAGCCAGAAAATGGCACTTTGAATTTTTCCATCCTGCAAGATCTAAATAATTCTTGTCATAAAATAGGCAAATGGTCTGAGGTGCCTGACGTCCAGGCATTCTTTTACACATCAGTCCCTTCCTAGTCTCTGTGCCCAGTGCAACTTGTCCCAAATCTTCCTTCTTTCCCTCCCACCTGTCCCCTCAGTACCAACCCCAAGCGTCGCTGAGTCTTTCTAATCTTCCTTTTCTACAGACCCATCTGACCTCTCCCTTCCTCCCCAGGCTGCTCCTCTCCAGGCCGAGCTAGGTCCCAATTCTTCCTCAGCCTCTGCTCCTCCACCCTATAATCTTTTTATCACCTCCCCTCCTCACACCTGGTCCGGCTTACAGTTTCATTCCGTGACTAGCCCTCCCCCACCTGCCCAGCAATTTACTCGTAAAAAGGTGGCTGGAGCCAAAGGCATAGTCAAGGTTAATGCTCCTTTTTCTTTATCCCAAATCAGAAGCGTTTAGGCTCTTTTTCATCGAATATAAAAATCCAGCCCAGTTCATGGCTCGTTTGGCAGCAACCCTGAGACGCTTTACAGCCCTAGACCCTAAAAGGTCAAAAGGCCGTCTTATTCTCAAAATACATTTTATTACCCAATCTGCTCCCGACATCAAATAAAACTCCAAAAATTAAATTCTGGCCCTCAAACCCCACAACAGGACTTAATTAACCTCACCTTCAAGGTGTACAATAACAGAAAAAAGTTGCAATTCCTTGCCTCCACTGTGAGACAAACCCCAGCCACATCTCCAGCACACAAGAACTTCCAAATGCCTGAACTGCAGCGGCCAGGCGTTCCTCCAGAACCTCCTCCCCCAGGAGCTTGCTACAAGTGCCGGAAATCTGGCCACTGGGCCAAGGAATGCCCACAGCCCGGGATTCCTCCTAAGCCACGTCCCGTCTGTGTGGGACCCCACTGAAAATCGGACTGTTCAACTCACCTGGCAGCCACTCCCAGAGCCCCTGGAACTCTGGCCCAAGGCTCTCTGACTCCTTCCCAGATCTTCTCGGCTTAGCGGCTGAAGACTGACACTGCCCAATCGCCTCGGAAGCCCCCTAGACCATCACGGACGCCGAGCTTCGGGTAACTCTCACAGTGGAAGGTAAGCCCGTCCCCTTCTTAATCAATACTGAGGCTACCCACTCCACATTACCTTCTTTTCAAGGGCCTGTTTCCCTTGCCTCCATAACTGTTGTGGGTATTGACGGCCAGGCTTCTAAACCTCTTAAAACTCCCCAACTCTGGTGCCAACTTAGACAATACTCTTTTAAGCACTCCTTTTTAGTTATCCCCACCTGCCCAGTTCCCTTATTAGGCTGAGACACTTTAACTAAATTGTCTGCTTCCCTGACTATTCCTAGACTACAGCTATATCTCGTTGCCGCCCTTCTTCCCAATCCAAAGCCTCCTTTTCGTCCTCCTCTTGTATCCCCCCACCTTAACCCACAAGTATAAGATACCTCTACTCCCTCCTTGGCAACCGATCATGCACCCCTTACCATCTCATTAAAACCTAATCACCCTTACCCCACTCAACGCCAAGATCCCATCCCGCAACACGCTTTAAAAAGATTAAAGCCTGTTATCACTCGCTTGCTGCAGCATGGCCTTTTAAAGCCTATAAACTCTCCTTACAATTCCCCCATTTTACCTGTCCTAAAACCAGATAAGCCTTACAAGTTAGTTCAGGATCTGCACCTTATCAACCAAATTGTTTTGCCTATCCACCCCGTGGTGCCGAACCCATATACTCTCCTATCCTCAATACTTGCCTCTACAACCCATTATTCTGTTCTAGATCTCAAACATGCTTTCTTTACTATTCCTTTGCACCCTTAATCCCAGCCTCTCTTCGCTTTCACTTGGACTGACCCTCACACCCATCAAGCTCAGCAAATTACCTAGGCTGTACTGCCACAAAGCTTCACGGACAGCCCCCATTACTTCAATCAAGCCCAAATTTCTTCCTCATCTGTTACCTATCTCGGCATAAATCTCATAAAAACACACGTGCTCTCCCTGCCAATCGTGTCCGACTGATCTCTCAAACCCCAGCACCTTCTACAAAACAACAACTCCTTTCCTTCCTAGGCATGGTTAGTGCGGTCAGAATTCTTACACAAGAGCCAGGACCGCACCCTGTAGCCTTTCTGTCCAAACAACTCGACCTTACTGTTTTAGCCTAGCCTTCATGTCTGCGTGCGGCGGCTGCCGCTGCTTTAATATGTTAGAGGCCCTAAAAATCACAAACTATGCTCAACTCACTCTCTACATTTCTCATAACTTCCAAAATCCATTTTCTTCCTCATACTTGACACATATACTTTCTGCTCCCCGGCTCCTTCAGCTGTACTCACTCTTTAAGTCCCACAATTACCATTGTTCCTGGCCCGGACTTCAATCTGGCCTCTCACATTATTCCTGATACCACACCTGACCCCCATGACTGTATCTCTCTGATCCACCTGATATTCACCCTATTTCCCCATATTTCCTTCTTTCCTGTTCCTCACCCTGATCATGCTTGATTTATTGATGGCAGTTCCACCAGGCCTAATCGCCACACACCAGCAAAGGTAGGCTATGCTATAGTACAAGCCACTAGCCGGCCTCTCAGAACCTCTCATTTCCTTTCCATCGTGGAAATCTATCCTCAAGGAAATAACTTCTCAGTGTTCCATCTGCTATTCTACTACTCCTCAGGGATTATTCAGGCCCCCTCCCTTCCCTACACATCAAGCTGGAGGATTTGCCCCCACCCAGGACTGGCAAATTAGCTTTACTCAACATGCCCGAGTCAGGAAACTAAAATACCTCTTAGTCTAAATAGACTCTTTCACTGAATAAATAGAGGCCTTTCCTACAGGGTCTGAGAAGGCCATCGCAGTCATTTCTTCCCTTCTGTCAGACATAATTCCTCAGTTTAGCCTTCCCACCTCTATACAGTCTGATAACAGACCAGCCTTTATTAGTCAAATCAGCCAAGCAGTTTTTCAGGCTCTTAGTATTCAGTGAAACCTTTATATCCTTTATGGTCCTCCGTCTTCAGGAAAAGTAGAATGGACTAAAGGTCTTTTAAAAACACACCTCACCAAGCTCAGCCACCAACTTAAAAAGGACTGAACAATACTTTTACCACTTTCTCTTCTCAGAATTCAGGCCTGTCCTCAGAATGTTACAAAGTACAGCCCATTTAAGCTCCTGTATAGACACTCATTTTTATTAGGCCCCAGTCTCATTCGACACCAGACCAACTTAGACTGTGCCCCAAAAAAACTTGTCATCCCTACTATCTTTTTTCTAGTCATACTCCTATTCACTATTCTCAAGTACTCATGCATGCCCTGCTCTTGTTTACACTGCCGGTTTACTGTTTCTCCAAGCCATCACAGCTGATACCTCCTGGTGCTATCCCCAAACTGCCACTCTAAACTCTTGAAGTAAATAAATAATCTTTGCTGACAGGACTATGCTGAATCTCCTTAGGCACTCTCTAATCAGATGTCCTAGGTCCTCCCAATTCTTAGACCTTTTATACCTGTTTTTCTCCTTCTCTTATTCCATTTAGTTTTTCAATTCATGCAAAACCATATCCAGGCCATCACCAATCATTCTATATGACAAATGTTCCTTCTAACAACCCCACAATATCACCCCTTACCACAAGATCTTCCTCCAGCTTAATCTCTCCCACTCTAGGTTCCCACGCTGCCCCTAATCCTGCTCGAAGCAGCCCTGAGAAACATCGCCCATTCTCTCTCCATACCACCCCCAAAAATTTTCGCCGCCCCAGCACTTCAACACTATTTTCTTTTATTTTTCTTATTAATATAAGAAGGCAGGAATGTCAGGCCTCTGAGCCCAAGCCAAGCCATTGCATCCCCTGTGACTTGGACGTATACGCCCAGATGGCCTGAAGTAACTGAAGAATCACAAAAGAAGTGAAAAGGCCCTGCCCCATCCTTAACTGATGACATTCCACCATTGTGATTTGTTCCTGCCCCACCTTAACTGAGTGATTAACCCTGTGAATTTCCTTCTTCTGGCTCAGAAGCTCCCCCACTGAGCACCTTGTGACACCCGCCCCTGCCCAACAGAGAACAACCCCCTTTGACTGTAATTTTCATTAACTTCCCAAATCCTATAAAACGGCCCCACCCCTATCTCCCTTCACTGACTCTCTTTTTGGACTCAGCCCACCTGCACCCAGGTGAAATAAAAAGCTTTATTGCTCACACACACACACACACACACACACACACACACACACGCAAAAAAAAAAAAAAAAAAAAAAAAAAATTACCTCTGAGTCTTCAGTCTTCCAGAATTAAGAAGCTGGGTAAGGATGGAAAAGTAAGGGACTTCCAGTGTGCAGAACCAAGAGCTTGAAGAATAATAGATTAAGATGCCACTCCTAAAGAAAATAACTAAAACTTAATCATGAAACATTCCTTGCCCCAGGATAGAAGGACCCAGAAATATTTGTACAGCAGGCTTTGGGAACAACTATTGAGCAGTAACTGCTATATGCCTACCACTCTTTCTCTTTCTAATGAAAGTGTTTATTTCTGTTATTGTGCTCTCACGCCACAATTGTATGTTAAGTGTAAACAGTAAAATTGTCTTTATTATTCATAGGTCTCTGACTCAAAGAAAAGCACATCTAGATTTGCTTTATATCACAAGATCCTGGACTTTCTGGCCTGATATTAGGATTAGATGAAGTTGGAGGGAATATAAGCATGTGGATAATCATGATTAATAGGGAAGACTGGTAGATTGAAGTATTTGTCCAAATTCTTCACTTCCCTGAAATGGTATCTGTCATCATACATCACATGGCCTCATGGTAGGTGGAGTTCCCTGTCTTCTCACTGTGAGTTTGGCTAGGTGACTTGCTTTGGCCAATGCGATATTTGATGAGACATGAGCAAAGGCTTGAAATTAACATATGCAGTTGGGCTTTCCCTACATCACTTTTTTGCCATTATTTTAATAAGGATATAACCTGAATAGCTTCTGCCCATCTGGCTTGGCCCCATAATTAAATGCATTGAACAGAACAGCTCCAGCCAATGCAAATCTGCAGCTTGAAGAAGAGCCACTTCAGTCACCCACAGATACATGAGCAAGAAATAAATGCTTATCACTTGCCACTGATATATTGTTTTTGTCACAATAGCTTTTTGCAGCAATAGTTTACTAATATTGGGGTCCTAGTCCTCTAATTCTTTCACAAAAGTTATTTCATGAAAATATGAAATCATATCATGAAGGAATCCATTACTTTGGCAGAAAAAGAAAACACCTAAATTTGTTTTTTTTCTGTTGTTGTTTCTCAGCCTTGAAACTACAAAACATAAGAAATTGTTTCAAAATCAAATAAACTACTGAGTTTCTGCATCAATTGTAGTTCTTTGGTTGTACACAATTACGGCTAACTTAAACAAAAGAGACATTCATTGAAACATTATCAGAAGTTAATGGAATTGACTGGAAGCCTGAAGAACCAAACTAGAAATCAATAGGAACCAAGACAGTTTCTGGAACCTAGAAGGCAAGAAAACCAGGAATGGCCTAATAGAGGAAGGAATCTGGTTAGAATGCTGTGGATGGGAGATGGATAAATTCCAAATATTTTCAGACCTGTTTTTACTTCTTCTGAGGATTCAAATCTCAAGAAGAAAGAATCAAACTGATTCTTTGGCATAAGAGAGAAAAGGACCTGAATAGGAGAGAGCAGGACCCCTGGTTACAGTTTCATCCAGCTAAAAAAAAAAAAAAAAAAAGAGTTAAATCCTGGAAAAAAAAGTCTGGCTGCTGTCAGGAAGGAAAATGTATGTAAAGAAGAAAAGAACTGTCTTCTTTGCTTGGTAAACCTACACATGCCCCTCAGAGAATGGTGCTGAAGTACCTCCCAAAGAACTTCCATTTACCCGTGAGCTTTATCATATGAGTTTACACCTGCTTCTTCCCAAGCCTCACTAAAATGATAACTAAGAAACTGCAAAAGACATAACCCTCAATAATCAAAAAGAGACTGGAGATGACAGCAACAAAATGCTGTTTTGCAAAACAGATGGATGGGTAACCAACTTAGCAGACCAAGGAAAACAGAAACCTAAACTGTAAGTGCAGTAGCCCTAATGCCCAAATTTATACTACAGATTATTAGGAAGCCTCAGGAACTCAAAAACAGTCGAGATTAGAAGGCTGAATAAAGGCTGGTTAAAATGTCTGCACAGAAGCCGTTAGATCCCTGAAGTCAATGAGCTACCGTTACTCTATCTTTAGCGGGAACCAGGAAAAGTTGACCTAGAGCACTCTATACTCAGGGATGACACATGTATCCAAGACCAAGAGTCCTATGAAAACAGGGGCATTGACTAAGACTCCTTCTGTATCCCCACTCCAGGCCCCGTCCTCTCTGAGTTTCCCAGGATGCTGGCAGCCAGCTTACACCTGACAGGCTAAAGACTAGGAGGTCTCTTTCTGAGTATACTGACACATCAGTAGAAGAGACTTACGGGTCGTGGTATTTAGAGATGGCACAGTGAAGTAGCTGAGGCCCCACCCAAATGCTGAAGCCCACCCATCAAAGCTTCATCTGGGAATGCTGTGCTTCTAGATAATGTTTCTTGATTCATTTATGAAAGTGAACAAAGAGCTAAGAAGCACCAGTCATTTTAAAAACCTCTAATGTTAGAAAAATAAACACACAAAAAGCAATCTCAGGGGAAAGAAAGATATTGCAAAATACACATAATGCATTACCTCAGAGAAATTAGAAAAGATATTGCACCTATAAAATAAGAATAAATAGAACATCACATCATACAAGAAAAAGGAACATCAGAGAATAAAATGTTCTTTAAGAAATTTGAGAGTAGAAATGAAAATTTTAATGAAAATGTTGAGAGATAGAGAATACCTCCCATGAGTAACACAAAAAGAGAAGAAAAATTACAGAAAGTACACACTTAAAAAAACATAGAGGAGTGGCTGGGCGCTGTGGCTCACACCTGTAATCCCAGCATTTTGGGAGGCCGAGGCGGGCGGATCAGGAGGTCAGGAGTTCAAGACCAGCCTGACCAACATGGTGAAACCCTGTCTCTACTAAAAGTACAAAAATCAGCTGGGCATGGTGGCATGCACCTGTAATTCCAGCTACTCGGGAGGCTGAGGCAGGAGAATCGTTTGAACCCAGTGAGCCAAGATCACACCACTGCACTCCAGCCTGGGCAACAGAGTGAGACGCTGTTTCCAGAAAAAAAAAGAAAAAGAAGAAAGGAAACATAATAATTGGTGATAACAGAATAATCTATGACTCAGCTATGATTAATGTTAACATAGTTATAATCATGTACATAGTGAATATTGCTGTATGCCAAAATTATGATATAATTATTATATGGAGAAAGGAAATACATGTGTGTTTGTCTTGTATGTATTTGCGTTGAAGAGAAGAGGTCTAAAAAAACCAAATGCTCCTCTTCCACAGTAAAATGACAAGAAATAATACACGTATAAAACTGAAAAAAATTAGCTAGATTGACTGGTTTTTAAATAAAATGCAGAGATGCAGCTCAAACAGTTAAATTGAGAAGTCAGAAGTGGGGAATGGCAGGATAGGGCTGATGACTTCTTTTCAATCTTACCTAATTATTTTTTAATTTTGATAAAAATTTAACAGTCAACTAAAAAAGAAGTGTATTTTCTTGCCCAGAGCTTGAGGATGAAGTAGGGTATGTAGTAATATTCAGGAGAGGGGCTTACAAAGAATCACCCAGCTAGCAGCAAGGAGAGGTGTCCAACAGAACTGTGCCTCCTCAAGCTCTTCCTGTGGAATGAGGCCAGCTGTGGAAATCCTCATGGAGTGCAAAGGGCAGAGAGATTCCTCAGATGAGAAAACAGAAAGGAATGAGCAGATGCTGCCCTGCAGCCAATAGCTCTATTAGGAAACTTTCTCTAAGTATCTTGGAATCAGTAACAAGATTGAATTTTAGATTCAAGCATACATAGCAGTCTTTTAATTTAAGAGACATAACCCTGAAGATTGATCCTGAGGATGGATGCAGAGGATCGGCCATCAGGGGGAAGAATGCAGACTGCAGACTGCTGTCGTTCTGTGTGTCAAGATAAATAAGAAGATAATAGGCCGGGCACGGTGGCTCACGCCTGTAGTCTCAACACTCTGGGAGGTCAAGGCGGGAGGATCACTTGAGCCCAGGAGTTCAAGACCAGCCTGGGCAACATAGGGAGACCCTTGTCTCTACATAAAAATAAAAAATAAAAAAATAGCTCTTCCCTTTTGTGGCCATCACCAAAGCGGCAGTGGCCAAAGTGGAGTTCAATCCCTTTGTGACTTCTGATCGAAGCAAGTACCACAAAAGGCATTTCAATGCACTTTCCCACATTCTCAGAAATATTAGGTCTTCCTCTCTTTGCAAAGAGCTGAGACAGAAGTACAATGTTCAATCCATGACCATCCGAAAGGATGATGAAGTTCAGGTTGTACACAGGCACTACAAAGGTCAGCAAATTGGCAAAGTAGTCCAGGTTTACAGGAAGAAATATGTCACCTACATTGCACAGGTGCAGCAGGAAAAGGCTAATGGCACAACTGTCCACATAGGCATTCACCCCAGCAAGGTGGTTAGCACTAGGCTAAAACTGGACAAAGACTGCAAAAAGATTCTTGAACGGAAAGCCAAATCTTAGCAAGTAGGAAGGGAAAGGGGCAAATACAAGGAAGAAACAATTGGATAAAGGAATAAAGGAATCTTGTATACAAGCTTTCATCAAAACTTGAAAAAAAAAAAAAATAGCCAGGCACGGTGACATGCCTGTGGGCCCAGCTACTGGGGAGACTGAGGCAGGAGGACTGCTTGAGCCTGGGACATTGAGGCTACAGTGAGCTGTGATCATGCCACTGCACTGCACAGCCTGGGTGACATAGTGAGACTGTGTCTCAAAAAAAAAAAAAGAAGAGGAAGAAGAAGATAATAATAACACATGGTGTTTAGACCTGCTCTGTGCCTTGCATTGTACTCACCACTGCACAGAATTATAGCCCTATATAAGCTGTGTTATAAATTCATAACCCTATAAAAATAAATTGTAGAGAAGATTGGTTGAGCACTCACCGTGTCTCAGGCATTATGCCAATATTCCATTAAATCTTCACAACAACTCTCTGGTGGAGGTATAATTGCTATTATCCTATTTTATAGATGGGGATACTGAAAAACAGAAAAGTTCAAATTTGCCCAAACTCCCATAGCTAATAAATGGCCAAGCCAGGACTCAAAGTGTCTAGTTCCAAAGCCTGTGCATAGACTCCTCATGTACAACACTAGCTTATCGCAACAGATGACAGAACTTGGGCTTAGAGGATTGAAGTAACAAAGCCAAGGGTTCACAGCCACCAGGGAGTAGAACCAGTACTCAAATCCAACCTTCTCTGAACCTGAAGTACACCCTACATTTGTCTATCATACTGCCTCCATAATAGAGGAAAAGTCTAATTCCAATAGAATAAGAAAAGTAAGCCATCCTTTGTGTTAGGAGTAATACTCAGTGATAACGAATACACTGATCAGTGGCATAAAAGGGTATCAGGAGTATAGAGATAGAGAGAACAGAGGTTAACAAATAACCACCCCCAAACCATGGGAGTGTGGATGATGGGATGGGTGACCTGCATTTTCTAGCCACTTCTCAACGCTGGCAACTGCAGCATAGCAGTACAGGGGCTGGACTCTAAGGCCAATGACACTGCCTGCAAGTCCTGGCTCTGCTGCTTACTAGTTATGTAAGCTTGGGCAAATTACTTTGCTTTTCTGGGTTTGAGTTTCTTCATCTGAAAAATGCTAACGATAACGGGGTTGTTAGAGGAATAAGTGATTTAGTCATTGTAAGTTGCTGTAAGAACAGCTTGTATTAAATAATTCCTGACCCACACACTAAGTGCTAGCATTGATTATAAAATAATTGTGTTTTATATTAATTAAGGACTTCCTGAAATATGCTCTGCTCCCAATTCTGTGGCTAATTCTTGCTGTGTATTCACCTGCTTAGCCTTGACAGGAGGCTTGCTTTTGTTTCTGTTCTGCTCTTGGCATTCTAAGCCTCAGGAATTTATGTCTTTGTCTTCCGCCCCAGACCTACTGATTTGGATTTCTTACCTCATTTTGAGCAACCTGTGGCCCACGGCCTCATGCCTCAGATTCCCAATGAGTAGATCCCTAATAATTGCTCTGAGAAGTCCTTGTTACAAACCACTTGCCACTTTGACCCTTCCTTCCCTCCTCCATAGTAGTTCAGCTCCATGGATTCTGGCATGTCTGTTGGCATGAACTAGAGTGATTTTTTACTCACTGCCTCCTTACTCTGGGACTAAACTCTGGATCTGACATTTATATTTTAGGTTTGCACCTCTATTGATTTATCCCTCATAGTAGAACTAAAACTGGTACAGCCCTTTACAATTTACAAAGCAACTCCACAGACATTACGAAATTCAACCTTGACAACAATCCTTTGAGGCAGGCATTTTTATTGTTCCTAAATATAGAAGGAGGTTCAGGCAAGATAAATAATTTGACCACAACTACAAAGAATTACTGACAGAGATAAAACTAGAAATCAAGTCTTCTGACTACACACACTGTATTCTTTTGTAACTCCAATCTGCCCATAAGGTTTGCACACTCTTCATACCAGCCCTCCACCACCCAAAGCGCAGCTATACAAATTCCCAAGCTGATATGCCCCGCCTTGACTCTCACCTCAACTTTTGTACCTACATTAGCAGCTCTTGTACATAATCACCTCCACAGCCACATGAAGCTCAGCATCCTTTATAGCTCACTAGCACTGTCTATGTGTATGGGTCCATTTCCATCAATGGTCTCAAGTGTTTCCTTGACTCAACACCTCAGAATAACATTTGACTCCTGCCTCGCCCTCACCCATCACATTCAGTTATCTATTGAAGCCGAAGATCCTTCCTTTGTGTTGCCTCCCATATGTTTCTTCTTCTTTCCGGTCACGCACCCACTGCTCCAATTCAGGTCCTCATCACTTCACCCTTGAACTATTACCATAGTCTTCTCCTTGTGTTCATTTTCTCCCTTTTCATTTCATCTGAAAGCTACACCAAATTAATCTTGGTAACATGCCACTTCATCTCTCACTGAAAAGCTTTCTGTGGTTCTGCACATCCTTTAGGATAAGCTCTCAATTTCTTAACGTGCTGTTTCCTAAACCATGTGCTAAGAAACACTAGACTCCCTGAATATTAATAGAAGCTTCATTTAAAAAAAAAGAAAAGGAAAGAAATGCTACCTGCTATCACCACTTCTCCATGTACATGCACATTCACTAAGAAACTGAATATATTATCAAGACATTGGAAGTTTTCTTAAGCCAACGTTTTCAAAATGTGTTGGACCACAGAACACTTTCTTCAGTGAAAACTTAGGAATATTCGCTTGGCATTAACATTCCACAAAAGGGTTTAAGATATTCACCTCTTCACCTCCTTGTCCCTTTCTAAACTTAGCTTCTGCTACTACCTTACACAAATCATTCCTGTCTTTACATTGGTTGCTAAGTAAATTGAACTAAGTCCTACCTTTAAGTTTGACACCACCCTTCTCTGACCACCCGAGGCATAAAGTGTCCCAAATTCAACTCACTGCAGTGTGGACCACATGTCCCAGGTTTTCTACATGGTCCTGGTTTTATGTAATTTGCCCTTCTTAATAAAGATGATTAAAACATAGCATGAAATGAACTTTTTATTTTGAGAGATTTATTTTTATTTAAAAATTTTTTATTGAGTTACAATTGACAAAAAAATGTATAAGTTTAAGCTGTACAATGTGACAATTTTATGTACATATAAAGTGAAGTAATTACCACAATTAAGCTTGGTGCATCCATCACTGATTGTAATAAGTTGCACATTAGAAAACAAATCTTTTCCTGAATTACATATCCCAATTTCCAATTTATATAGTTGGCTTGCTGTCATTGAGCACACCTATTTTTTGTATTGCTAATTTGAGGCACTCTATGTAGTACTACATTGTTAATTCTGTTTTATGTCTTTTCATATCTCTCCTAGTAGGTTAGTCTATTTTTCTCTAGTACTTATTTATCTCTCAGAGTTAGAATTTACATTGATTATAATAATGGTTCTGTGGCTACCTATTACAGACATTCAAATGGCAAAGTCCTTTTTACCCAAAATAAAAATTTCAGTTTTAAAGAGCAAGCTGACTGCCTAAGAAATGAAAACCCTGCTTTAATTTAAGGAATAAGGTCTAGTCCTTGGGCATCTCAAAGCCACAAAACTTAAAGGAAACCAAAAGCACTAGTACCAAAGTCCCTACTCTATCCACTTCCAGAGCCCTCTGGGCTTTCAGCTACTGCTTCTTTTAAAAACATACAGTGCTTCAATATAAAACAAGTGTGGGTACTAAATTATTTGTGGGTGAAATAATAGGATACTTTGGATTTGTCTTAAAACATTGCAGCAAAAATAAAAACACCAAAGGGCAGTGGAGCAAACACAGATTAAACATAACTGAAAAAATGTTGATAGGTATTGAATTGGATAATAAATACATGAGGGCTCAGCTCAGTATACTATGTTTGTATATGTTTGAAAATGTCTATAATAAAAAGCTCTAAAAATGTATAGGTGACCGATGTTTATTAAACCGGGAGGATGATGATGGCCCAAGTGCTTTTCCCATCAGCTCTGTACCCCTATGAGGTTCTACTCATTTCACTGCCGTGGTCAGCTCAACCCAGCTCCTCACTTAATCCCACAGTCACCCAGCCTGCTTTCACTACCCCCAGGCCTCTGAGCAAAAACAACCAAGGAGTAACTTCCATCAAGAGAAGGTAAGTAAATGGAGCTAGGTCTCTTTCGCTTTATCTTTTTTCCTGTTTTTGTTTGTTTGTTTTTTATTTTTGTTTTGAGACAGAGTCTTGCTCTGTCACCCACGCTGGTGTGCAGTGGTACAATCTTGGCTCACTGCAATGTCTGCCTCCCAGATTCAAGCAATTCTCGTGCCTCAGCCTCCTGAGTAGCTGAGACTACAGGCACACAACACCATGCCCAGCTGATCTTTGTATCTTTAGTAAAAACGGGGTTTAACCATGTTGGCCAAGCTGGTCTCAAACTCCTGACTTCATGTGATCCACCCACCACAGCATCCCAAAGTGCTGGGATTACAGGCATGAGCCACCGTGCCTGGCCTTTTTTTCCTGTTTTCTATCTGTTCTTCTGTCCACCAACCTATCTCCCTCCCTGTCAGCCCACCCAACTGCCCACCTGCACATCTGCTGCCCTTCCTTGCTCCAGCTCCATCAGTTTTTGAACTAGCCAAAACTCTTTGGCCAACTCTGCCCAGATCTTCATAATATTTCACCTAAAACTAGTGCAGGTATCTCAGCTATCCATCAGTTTTTGTCAACTCTTTGACTAATATTAATAATATTTCTCTTAAAATCTTTGTTATTAATTGATGCCAGGAAAACAAATCTTCTGCTTTTCTCTGCCTTCTTGTGTCCTTTTGACTCTTTCTGACAATGTAAATCCTGACTCCACTGCTGCCCCATTCCGAACCTTCTGTGCATGGTCTACTTCCAAGATCCTTCAGATGGTGCCTCATGATACACAACGTCTGGCCTTAAAGAGGCAGGGGAGCATGTAATAGAAATGAACTTCTCCTATCATAAAAGCCAAAGAAGAAAGAGATTCAAGGATACAGTGATCAAAGGGGCAAAATGCATTAGAAAAACCTATAGAGATTAAGTAGCTAGAAGAAGACTTTGATAACTAGGAAATTATTACCAATGATTAGTTCAGAAAGAATAGAAATGGATTCCAAGTGCATGTAATTCAGTCAAGAAGAAGGCATAGATAACATGCCTAACGATAAGCACAATGATAGGCAGGAGAAAAATATGAAAGAATCTTTTACAGAAAAACATTCAGACCTGGGGGTTTTCAAGACAAATTAGACGTAGGCATATTGAAAGGCCAAAAAAGGAGCCAGTGGAAGAGACTGAAGAATCTAGAAGTCAGAAGGCAACAAAACAGGGCCTTGGAAGTGACAGAAAAGACAGAGGATGAAAATACATATCAAGGTGTTGGTCTTGGACAGGGTGAGCAGACCTCTTTTGTGAGATTAAAAGGTGTTACTTTATAAGGAAATCAATTTTGAAAAAAGCTAAAGATTACTTTTTGAATGGTTTCAATGTTCTCAGTAAAAATATATTAAATTATATGAGATGATACGTGTAAAATACTTGGCACAAGGCTTGATATATAATAAATGTTCACCATGTGGTGGTCCTAGGAGACTTAACAGTAGTGTAGTAGCATTGATAAGAACAGCAGTGAACATTTACTGAGTGTTTACTATGTTCCAGGAGCTTTCCTAAGCTATTGTAGTGGTAGTGGTAGAGGGAGAAGGAGCAGGAGCAGTAATAATAAATAAAAAACATCTGTCTGAGAATAAAGTGAGCAGGATTAGGCTTGAGAAAAGCAGAAGGTTGATTGGCAGAGATATAGAGATTTCATCAGCAACTGAGCAGACAATTATTAAGCATGTATAGGAACCCACGTGAACTTTGGCCAGGCACTGGTAATCAAAAAAGTTGCTAAGTGTCTGATCAGAAGCAAAGCTAATGGAGTGGCTGAAATTATAATAAATGGGCAGTCTTACTATATAAACAAGGGTTTATAGTTAAAAGGTTCAGGAGATATCTTAGAGGATTAGTGACAATTGGTCATGGGGCTTAAGGATCTCCTTGCTACTAGCTAAGCAGAGGAATAGAAATAGTAAAGAATGGGAAGCATGGTTAGCATATTATAACATAAATGCTGAAGTCACTGAAAATGTACCAGAAGACAGATGGACAGGAAAATTGACAACAAGTTTCCATAAATGAAGTATTACTTCATTTAGGAAACTGATTATGTGACAGCAAGTAGATCAAAAATATTGTCTGCATCCCTATATTGCCCAGCCTTTATTACCAGAAATCATCAAAGATGGTAAAAGTAATCTTAGAAATTTATAGACAATGGTAACAAGACTTTCTGATATCAACTCGTGATACCATAGACCTCAAATGAGAAAAATGGATAATAAGAGAAGGAACAATCATTAGAATGGTATTAGTTATCAATAAGCAATTATGAATTATGAATGGTATTAGTTATCAATAAGCAATAAATGAATTGATAGAATGAATTCATAGAATGAATGAATTCACAGAATGAATGAATTGATGTAAGAAAATGTGCAGCACACTAAATGTGAATGGAAATTATATACATGAGACTCACACTGACCCAAATCGTTTGTAGCTCCTAATAGTTCTATTTTTTAATTTTATTTACTAATTTTGAAGGTTACTGCAAATTTTATTTTTATTTTAGAGGCAAAAAAACTAACTTTACAACAATCAGCTTATAGTAGAATATTATCAGTGATGCAGGATTGCTCTTTTTATATCCTTATATTTGGTAGTATTATTTAACATTACATGCAGGTACTCACTCTTGTGTTTTTAACATACTTGGCATTTTGCTACATTTCTTCTTCTAACTTGTTTTACTTATCATCATATTTTTGAGATTTATTAATGTAGATGTACTTAAATGTAGTTTATTACTTCTAACTACTGCATGGTACTCCACTACTTGCATATTTCACATTTTGATTATCCATTTCTCACTAATGGGCATTCGAGTTATTTCCAACTCTTTGTTGGTTCAAACTGTGCTGCAGTAAGTAAACTTCTGAGAACTTATCTTTAATATATCTCCAGAAGAGTAACTGAGGGGTGTATACTCAGTAATGAAACTGCAAAGCCATAGAATATGAATATATGTAATTTCACTAGTATTATTAAATTATTCTCCAGAATAACAACATTAATTTATCCCTCCACTCTCAGTAGAGAAGAGTTCTTGTTTCTCTACAACCTCACCAACACTTATGCTTTCCAGCATTTTAATTTTTGCCAATGCAATGATTATAAATGGGTTTCTCATTTGTTCCTGCTGGATTCATTTAATATTTTACTTAGCACCTTTTAAGCACCAAGTGTGATGCTCAAATGTGTTAAACCACCTGGCTGAAGTTGGTAATGTAGCCTCAAAGTCACGTTTGGTAAATAGTTCAAAAAGTGTCACATATGTTTATTAGTGAATTTAAGAAAACAAGGGAAAAAAACTCCAATGGGTTGCAATTTCCAGCAAATTGTAACTAATAACTGTGAAAAATATTTCTGCTCAGAGGATCATGAGAAGGAACGTGGAACCAATGCAAGATAGATGTGTGAGCCAACACACGTGGCTAGCTTCATGTAAGCCCAGCATACTCTCCAATGTGTCTTCTTAGAGTCACACCTGAACTGACTACTGATTTTCACTTAAATCTGTTGAGAAAAAGGCAATTTTGCTTTTGTTTCTTAGCAACAGATAGCTTGATCCTGAAAGTCTAATGGTAAGACGTGGTTAAAATGAAGAAGAAAGAGATTGCATGGTAATTTAAATGTTACTCTCTACCTAAAAGCAATGCTGAGAAGACTCTCTTCAAAGACTTGTCCATTCAAATTCCTCTTGTTAAACAGTTTAATTGCATCCTGTGTCTAATTTTTAAATTAATTAGTGATTTTCCTTATATAGCTCTAGAATTTTTGTCATTAATGATGTAAATATCACTTCCTGGACTATTATTTTGACTTATGCTGTCCTGTGTTAGCCAAACTATTTATTTTTATAGTCAAATCCATCAATTTTTCTTGAAAAGTCCTATGTATTTTATATCTTCTTGGTATATCTGGAGCATTTAACTGATTATTTCTCATATAATTAGCCTACTTTCCATAGAACATTTATTTTAAACTTAAAACATTTTCCGCTGATTTACGATGCCATCACCATCATTTACCAAGTTCATGTAGAGATATCAGTCTGTTTCTGGACTGTCGATCTTGTACTGTATATCTACTTATTCTTATACAAAAATGAATGTATTTTACTAATTGTTGCTCTGCAGTATTTGTTAATATCTAGAAGGATTAGTCATCCTTTCTTCTCTCCACCTTAATTCAAAAGTTAAAATCTGTGTTAACTATTTTAGGACCTTTATTTCTCTCTATATATTTTAAATCAATATGGAATTTTTCCCATGATTCTTCTTGTAATTATTATTGGAAATGCATTAAATATATTCCAAACTTAGAAAAACCGATGTATTTACAAGATAAAGTCTCCCCATTCATGAACATAGTGTATTTCTCCATTTATTTGAACTTTCTTTCTTGTGCTTTACTAGGGCTTTATAATTTTTTTATAAATCCTATGCATTAAAAAAATTCATTTCTATATATTTTATGAGTGTGTTGCTTCTTTTTATTATGGTTTCTAATATAATATTGTTGATATAGAGAAAACTTATTTACTTTTATATGTTGATCTTATGTTAGAAAATTTTGCTGAACTTTCTTATTGGTGTGACTAGTTTGCCATTAATACTCTTGCATTTTAAATGTAAATGATCATATCATCAGCAAATAATTACAATGTATTATTTATAACAATTATTTTCTTTTTCACTGTATTGACTAAAATTGTTAGCACACTGTGCTGACAGGTATCACTTATACAAAGCATATATATCTAGTTCCTGACTTGAAAATAAGTGCCTCAGATTTATCCATTAAACATGAAATTTGTTGTGGAATATTTGTACATAGGGTTTATTAGATTATAAAATTCCTGTGTATTTCTAGCTTTCTAATAATTTTCATCTTTTTTTCATGTATATTGAGATGACTCTGTTTTAGATTTTCTGGAGTTGAACTATCTTTCTATTCCTGAGAAAATTGTAAAAATGTGTTGCTTTTTAAAATGTTGAACTTGGATAATATTTTTAAATGCTTTTATCTATAAAATTAGTGTATGCATTTTCTAAATTATGCAAATTTTATAAAATGAGTTGTTAATGTTTTCTTTTTTTTCATTTTCTGAAAAAACTTACATAATATTTGGGAATCATGTCTCTCTTGAAACGTTGGTAAAATCTACCCGTAAAATTATTTTACATGGGAGTAGTGAAGAGGGCAGAGATATTATTTTTTCATAGCCATTCAAAGCCATTAATGATTGTTATTGTAAGTTTTCTGCTTTTTAGGGGGTCAATTCGGCTTTTATCTTCAGATATGTGCCTATTTTATCCACCAATACTTTTTAATAATATTCTTTTATTATTTTTAATCTCTACTAGACCTATTTTAATTTCTACCTTTTCATTTTTTATTCATTTGTATCTTTTCACTTTTTTGCTCATTGAAAATTCCAGAAATTTATCCACCTTCTTAGAATTTTCAAAAAAAAAAAAACTTATGGTTTTTGGTAACAATCTCTTTTTTGTTTCTTTTCTATGCTGTTTATTTCCTATGTATTATTTATTTTTAATAATTTAGGTTTACCCTATTGCTTTTTTCCATCATCTATATTTCTATAAATTTGTTTTAAAACATTATGCAAACCCTCAAAAGAAATTAACTTTTCCTCCTTAGGTTCATAGATAGTCATCAGATTCGTAATTTAACCAACCTCTTCTCAGCTGGAGTCAGAGAAAAGCAGTATCTTTTCTCTCTAGAAACAGGCATCCCACCAGTCAATCTACAGTCTGGTGACAAATGGCTAAGAAATGTGGAGATGAGGTAAGCATTTCCAGTCTCTGTTCAAACACAGATCCCACAGGACTCTAAGTTTGAGGAAACTCACAGCAAGAGGAGACAGAAGCACCACCAATCAAGAATCCCAGTCCCAAATAGAGAATTCCATTTGTTGACAGAACTCTTCAACTAAAGCCAGGCTCCAGCCAAAGAAAACATGAAGAAGAAAACGTCAAACTCTTGGCACTGGTAAACTTTACTTTAGTGCAGGGCTTATACACCCTGAAAATTATGTCCAAGATCCTCCTGGCACTGTTTCCAAAATTCTGAACCATGACTACACTGCTGTTTGCGAATAATATCATCACATTCGTGACTCTTAATCGCCACGGAGGCCTGTCCAGCCCGAATCTTTTCTCAGCTGGTTTTCACTTTACCGGGAGACTATGCGCAGAAAAAGAATGAGAAGGAGAAGGAACTCTAAGTCCTGAAAGCTCAGTCCCAGGAAAAGTTGAGAGGGACTTCTAGATTGGAAATTGTGTTGATCATGGCTGTACAATATAATAGGTGATATTGGTGTGGTGCTTTAAGATTAACAAAATGTTTTCATGAATAGATCTCATTTAAAATCTCAAAACAATCTGCCAATTAGACACAGTGGGTATTAATATTCCTATATTTTAGTCATGTGATCTAGGTGAGGTAAATTCTTTCTGAAAGTATACATAGCCAAAAAAAAGCTGCCCAAATGAGTACCATTCAACCCTCCCCATTACCTTTAGCATAAGAGTTGTGTAGGGACTGACATAATTGTTTGTTATCAATAGGGGAAGTCACTCTACTATATCATAGAATCCTTTTCCATGTAAATATTCTACAATGCTGTACATGTGCGAAGTGGGAGATAGGCAGAACACAAGCCTGTGGTTTGCTCAGCGGAAAAATGGAGACCACAGACTCTCCCAGGGTCTCTGTTTCTGGTTTTGTCTCATGTTTCCAAACTCAAGCACCTTGGAGCACAGCAAGGATAACCTTCTGGACCCCTTCTTTTCTCTAGCTATCCTCATTCTCATAGTGATCTCCAGTTTTATCACTTTATTTTTTATTTTTGTTTTATTTATTTATTTATTTATTTATTTTTTTGAGATGGAGTCTCACTCTGTCACCCAGGCTGGAGTGCAGTCGCACGATCTTGGCTCACTGCAACCTCTGCCTCCTGGATTCAAGCAATTCTCCTGCCTCAGCCTCCCGAGAGGCTCAGATTATAGGCATGTGCCACCATGCCTGGCTAATTTTTTGTATTTTTAGTAGAGATAGGGTTTCACCATGTTGGCCAAGCTGGTCTCGAACTCCTGACCTCAAGTTATCCACCCACCTCAGCCTCCCAAAATGCAGGGGTTACAGGCATAAGCCACTGTGCTCAGTCCAGTTTTACCACTTTAAATGCCACCTACATTTGATGACTTCAAATTGGTACTCTAAACTGGACTTATCCTGTGAACTACATGTAGATCACATGTCCATTGAGACAGATATCCAAGTGGATCTGTCTAAATACCCATTAGACAGATCCACTTGGGTATCTAATAGACATCTCAAACTTAGCATGTCTTGCACTAAACCTCTGATCTTACCTCCTCTAAAACTTTCTCTACCTGAGGCTTTCCTCCTTTCAGGTAATGATACCTCTCCACTTCCTGTTGCTCAAGGAAAAAAAAAGTCACTCTGACTCCTCTATTTCTTTACACTCCTTAGCTAATCCATCAGAAAATCCTGCTGGCTCTATATTTTTATTATATCCAGAATCCACTTATATCTCACCACTTCTACAGTGAATCTTATTCAAGTCACGTTTTCCCTCACCTGAATTATTTGAGGCTGACTGCTTTGCTTTCACCTGGTCCCATACAGTCTGTTCCCAACACAGCAGGCAGCATGATCCTTTTTTTACCATCCTGTCCTGAAAGCCCCAAGTGGCTACCCATCACACTCAGAATAAAGCCTAGTTCCCACAATCACCTGGAAGGCACCCCCAACTGGCTGTCCATTATCACTCTTCTGGACTCACCTGCTGCAATTCCATCCTTGCTTACTCCACCAGAGCCACACTGGCCTACTTGCTGGGATGGGAACATGCCAGACCTGCTCCCTGCTCAGAGCCCCGACTAACTAATTCTTCTGCCTGTAATGTCCATCCCCGACATAGCCACATAATTCACCTCTTTACCGCCTTCACGTTTTGCACCAAATATCACTTTCCCATGAAAGCCTTCCTCAAACATTCTATTTAAAATTGCATGCCGCCCCTCACATTCCCCATCATCCTCCTTTATTTTACCCCACTGGACTTATCACTTTCTAATATGCTACATAACTGACTTAATTTGATGATAGTATATCTCTTCTCTCTAGAATATAAGCTTCATGATGACAGAGCTTTTGGTCTGTTTTGCTCACTGATCTGTGCCTCAGTATCCAGATCACAGCCTGACACATAGTAGGTACTCAATAAGCATTTGTTAATGAATCAATGAATGAATAAATTAATTAAAACATGACCTCTAGAGTTCTATGATTCTGACATACATACACACAGGCAGGATCATAATCACATACTCAAAAGCAAGCCTTAAGCTCTCAAAGTTGAGAGGATCTGCCCGAATGGCAATCCACTGGTGCAGGCTTCCTACAGCAGTTTCCTGCAGACATGTGAGAGTTAGGGAATTCATTCATGCATCTGGACAGCCAGCTGCCTGCTCTAGCCATTGAACAAATGAAGACATCTTAGACCTGTGGGCACCTGATGCTTCACCATGGGATCTAGAGGGGGCCGCCTGGTCCAGCATGCGGAGGTGGGAATTGCTGTGAGAGAAGCAAGAAGCACTCTAGGGAAAGTGTGTGACCAGTGGGACAGACAGCACACTGGGCAGGTGGGCGGCTTGAGATGGGAAGAGCTGTTTTTCTCTGAACAGCTGCAGAGGAGTTGTCTGTGTGCCAAGCCCCTCCTAGGTCTCCAGCCTTGAAGAGGGTTTTTGTGGTGAGTAATTAATCACAGGACGCTTTTGCTCTGGCCCTCCCTTTGGAAGAGACTAGTATACTCCTCTCCTTCCTATCTCCCCACCCCTCCAGGGAAATAAAGGAAGCTAAGGTTATAGTTCTGACCAGACATAGCTCATCAGAAGCTACTGTGGAAATCCCCATTCTGGCTGCTCACCCTTCTCCCAGACTCTCCATCTCTTGTTTTTCACCGTTCAAGCTCTCCCTCTCCTCCACACCTGCCCACGGCATCTCCACAGTCTCCTCTCTATTTTGCCTGGGAGCTCTCCCACCTCCAAGCACCATGAACTGAGTCCCTCTCTGCCCACCTCCAAGTTGTTCCTCTCTCTGCACCCAGGTAAGGAGAAGCCTGGCATTGGGGGGATTGGTGGGCAAAGGAGAAGGAAGCACCAAGAGTAGAGCATGAAAATAAAGAAATCGAAACACTTTCCAGCTTGCTTTGCCCACAAGAGACAACTCCTTGTGACACGAGCATCTGTTCCCACGCAGCCACCCTCCTTCCACCGGATCTGGCGCCCCACATCAGAATCACGAAGCACACAGTGTTTTGTGTGCTCCAGCCTGTGGCACCCTCCAGTCGCGGGTACACTGAGGTGGAGTGAGGCGGGAGGAACATGAGGCAGCTACCGATGCCAGGACTTGGAGGTTCAGCTTCCATTTTTATCAAATGATTTTGCCCAAGTGCATCCGTTTTGCCTCAGCTTTCCCATCTAAAAATAGGAGAGTCTTGTCTTCTTCTCAAGTGCACAGAGGATTGCATGGTGAGAGGCATCCAGTGATGTGTTGTTTCTGTAGAATAATCTGTAAAAATAGAATTGAGGAAAATATTATTTCTTCAACTCTTAGAAGCAGAATAGAGAATATTCAAGAAGATGATATCCTTGATTATTTTTCAGCTCCATGGGAGAACAAATATTTGACCTCAGACAAAGCCTAGGAAGGAAAGTCTCCATGTATTACTCCTTTGTCTTGGTCAAAGAACAAAATCCCCAGGCCCCAGACCACATCAATAACAGGATCCGCCACTGAAGAGACTCCCCACTGATGAGACTGGGCCCCCCTCAGAGCCCAGCCTCGGGCCTCCTGAATCATTTAGGCATTTATTGCTCTTTCTCAGCAACCACAGGGATCTATTCTGGAAACACTAAGGCAGGCAATTGGATGGCAGGGAAATGATCCCGTTGGAAAGAGCCCCCGAAGCCAAAATCACTCACATCACTCTCAGGGGTGACAGATTTTCCAAGGGGCCTGCAACTTTCCGATGCAGCATTTGAAAATAATCAGCCACACTCCTGGAAAGTGGCTTGCCTGGGAGATCAACATCGTTTTTCTCACCAGTGTTTACTTTTGCATTTTGATGAATGATGAAAACACCTTGGCAGTACTGAGATAGCCTTGGTTTCCTCATCCAGGCAGCTCCCTTGCCCTGGTACTTCATTCCAGCTCTCATCTATGGCCAGCAAGAAACAGAAAAACATCTTTTAGAAGGAGGGTCTTGCTGGGTTTTCGAGGGAGATCACTTGCTGTTTTGTAGCACAAAATGATGTTTAGAAGTTTAAAGTATGTTCAAGTCTACTAAAATCAACTTCATGGAAAATGATAGTTATTTTTAGAAACAAATTTTGAAAACAAACTAGCTTCCCTATTAAATGCTAATATTTCTCAAGTAGATAAAGTAACTAATCCTCAGGCCTAGGGTCGTTTTCAAAATGTGAAAGTACAATATCATGCATCTATGTGTGATGAAGTTGACCTTCACAGCACCAGAACTGGGACAGTCCCTCCACCAGATAATTTTGATGTGGAACATTCAAGTGCTCATTTTTGAAGCTTATCCCTCGTCCTCTGGCAGAAGCCTGAGTTACAGACATTAGTTAAAACGGGTACTGCCTCATTGAAGTAAGGAATTTTTTTTTTTTTTAAGCATCAAAGTCAGCTCTAATATCAGCAGGACTCCTAGATTTTCCTGGTTCAAAGCTCCTCTCCAGATGAAAATAAAAGAGACCAGGGAGCCTGAAATGATGCTTTCCTCAAAGCCCTGATCCCATCATTGACTTCTGCAGAAAAGAGAACTGGCAGTGGCAACTATTCAGGAGGTCTAAACACAGGTGCACATGTTGCCGAGACTGGTAATTATGACTTGTCAGGAAGCTTGAGGGGAACGTGTTGGTCAAAAGGCAAAAACAAAGGTCGCATACTGACCCAGAACTAGCAGACTAAAAGACTGCCCATGTAACCATCATGTTAAAGAAGGGCTCCAGGGCTGATGCCACAGCTACCCAGGATATCTCATTTGTATAACGTGCAGGATCACTAAACACTTCAGAAAACACCATAAAGGGGGAAAAGCAAGAATGTTTGTGTAAGGAAAACATTCCCTATTGAATCTGTTAATAGTTAAATGCTTTTGAGAGAGAAAGAAGCCAACAAGAAACTAACAGAGGGTTTCTTTTATTTAGACTTTCAAAAGACCTTGACAAGATCTCATACCAAATTTAGTCATCACAGATTCAGTAGGCGGCTTTATCATGTAAAAGGAACTGGCTCACAAGACAGAAACACCATGCAGGCAAATAACACATATCCCAGCGATGGAGGCTGAGATCATAAAAGGTTGGGGAGGGACAACACAGTGAAGTTGATAAATCCAGAGATGACATTTACCTCCTTTCAGTAAAGGAATTACCAAATTGATGAGGAAAAAAAAAAACACTAAAAAATGTGGAAGTTTGCATGACAGCAAAAAAAAAACAAGAAGAATAGTAAATGAGTTTTCTTTTATAAAATAAATTTAAATTTAACATATATAATGCAAATATATGTAAATTAATTATTTTCAAGTTATCTGTCATAAACCAAGAAAAAGGCCTGTATGATGTAGGGAAAGGAGGCATTACAGTAATTGCAGTTGTCGGCTGCTATGCAGAGGGAGCACAAAGACTGACATGACATTGTAGAAGACAGAGTAGTCAAATGAAATGATTAGAAACCACCTTTTGTTAGCTTCTTCATGCCTGGTACTATGTAATGGGCTTTCTTTATAATATGCCTGATTCTCACAGCAACCCTATGAATTAGGCATCATTATCTCCATTTAGATGTAGAGACTGAGGATCATGGAAATTGAGTACATCAACCAAAGTCAATATGGCACATAAGTGATTAAGCCAGGATTTTAATCTAGTGATGTCTTCTTCCATAGCTTGTACAGTCTCAGAAAGACAGTAGGAAGTGCAGGAGGGAAAATAAGTGGAAAGATAGAAATAGGTGGATAGATAGAAGACAGACAGACAGATAGACAGACTTCCCTACATCTATGTCTACTCATCTCCTCATAAGGTTCCCACACCCAGATATACACTCACTTTACTTCTTGCACCTCAGAAAGAGAAAAGGCACTAGGTAATCCCCTGAAACAGCACGCTTATGGAGAGTTCCATGGTGGGAGGGAGAATACTCAGAGAAAATATGACTTAAGCCTGTCAAGTAATAAAGGATAAAAGTAAAAATGCTTTCAGTGTTTTTCTGCACCTACTATGTATCAGGTCTGTACCAGAAATTTGTACATGTTATTTCTATGGAATCATCCATCATCAAGCCTCTTTTGTTACCCTCTGTTGAATCAGTGAGGAGTCTGAGACTTTGGAAGAGTTTATTACCTTGCCCCTTCCCCACATCAAGCATTCAGAAAACAACAAAGCAGAAATATAAACTATAAACAACAAAGCAGAAATATAAACTATGGAGACTCCTTTTACTTCACTAAGGACTAAGGCTAAAAAAAAAAAATGAATGTATAGTGTGTTATTCCTAAAAGGAATCACTGGATAAAAGTGGGTTCCAGAATAATTTATATAAATTCATAGACCAGAAGCCTATGAAGAGTTATTAAATGAGGTTAAGAAATCCAGGCATATTCATAATCTTCTAAGTTTAACTTCTTACCAGATCAGGGAAATGATAAAATTTTATCCTAAACTACTATAGGACAATGATAAAATTCTGCTGTGACCTCTCATTTGGTGATTTTGTAAACTATAATACTAGATCAGTAAGCTCAGGTCTACTCTGGAAGACAATTCTTACAGAAATGGAACCATTCAGCCAGAGGTGTGAGAACCAGGCTCTAGTCCAGTTCTCCTGCTAAAAGACCATGGTGAGATCCAAGTCTGATTAGTGACATCTCTGGACCTCACATGAAGGCCTAGAATGTTTGACCTTTAAGCTCCATTCCAGTTCAGCATTCTATGGAATCCTCAAAACCTGAAAGGGGCTGACTGGTCTAGCTCTCACATCTCCCATCCCACATCCACCCTTTAGGGGTGCTTCCATTGACTCTTGAAATGGCCGATTAAAAACATCATGATTGCAGATAATTTTAATTATTCTATACAGCAAAAAATCAAATCTCAGATCTGCATCTCCAGCCCAGCAAGGCTCTCAGCCACATCCAGATGTCCTGGGCCACCAGCCAGCCATGACTCTGTGGGTGCTCCATGGAGTCTTACCCAATTAAAAAAGTGAATCTGCCGGAACAATAACAATAGCAGCAATGAATGTCAAAGCTAAGGAGAAATTATTTTTAGATTTGCTATCTTAGATTATCTGCATTGCTGCTCACATCCACATGTCCTCAAGAAAAATGTCAACAAAGGGAAATCTGAGGACAGAAATGCCTAGAGACCGTGGGTGATTTCTCTTCTGCAGAAGGTGGGGTATATGAAAAGAAGGGTAAGATGTGTCTCATGAGGGAAGGATGTTTTGGAAAAGGTATAAATAAGGACGACTATATAGTGGATAAGACTATGGACTATTGGGGGCTAGATTGCTTGGGTATAAATCTGGCTATACTGTTAATTAGCTAGATGATGTTTCATTTCCTTAGGCCTCAATTTCCTCATCTATAACATGGGTATGGAGAGAGTCCACTAACCTTATTGCACTGTCACTAAGAATAAGTTAAATTAAATTTGCAAAGTCCTCGTGAGCATTGCCTGGCAGTCTCTTAAATGTTAGCTGTTATAGCTGATGTTATTCATCACTCGGAAGAGTAAGAACATCTGCTTTCTCCCTGGGGGAGGAAGGTGGCTTAGGCAGGCCTTGTGGTGTTTTCTTCTCTCTCTGTAACTTCTCCTCCTAGGGTAGAGTTGGATTTGAATCACTGAAGCTTTGAAAGTATCTGTTCTCCCTCCCTCTCCCAGAGAAAAGACTGAAACATACATTCCTAGAATTTGTGACAATACCTCCTAAAAACTCTAAGAGCAGAAACACGCCTTAGTCTCTTTTCCATTTAATTAGCCCCTTTGACTTGCTTTAGAGCACTTTTTTTAAATTTTATTGTGTAATTGACAAATAATTACACATTTTTATGGGGAACTTAGTGATGTTTTGATACATATAATGTATAGTGATATTGTATATCCATCATCTCAAGCATGTATCATTTATTTGTGTTGCGAACATTCAATATCCTCCTTCCAACTATTTGAAACTATATAAAATTGTTAATCACAGTCATCCTCCAATGCTGTAGAACATAAGAAATTCTATTTAGCTGTAATTTTGTATCCTTTAACAAAGGATCTGTTCCTAGCCCCCTTCCCCCTACCTCCCAACCCCTACTATCCTCTGTTCTGCTTTTTACTTCTTCTGAGTTCAACTTGTTTTAACTTCCACACAAATGTTTTTAAAACACGATGTACCTTGAGCTGCTAGGTATTGGTGCCATCAATGGGATTTGCTTGTCATTTACATTTCTGTGTGGTATGAACCTGGAGGAAGAACTGGAATATTTCTGTTTTTTTTTTTTTCTTCTGCATTCCCTTGTGCTCATCACGCTTCTCTAAGGAGATGAAGAGGAAGAAGTAGAGAACAGAGCAGAGGCGGAGAGAAGAGAGTTGTCCTGGCACTTCAGGAATCCTCCAAGAAAGCCAGGCATCTCTCTCATGTTCATAGCAAACAATAATTGGCGAAGAGGAGGCACTCAACACAGGTTTGTTACATTTGCTCAACAGCATGAAGGGTGGCCAAAAACTGAAAAGTGAATGATCTAAAACAGATGGGAAATGAATCCACCTCCCTCAGACCTACCCAAAACCCAACCCTACTCTTCCATTAGAAGACTGAAAACATCCATTTGAAAGTGCTGCCCTCAGATAGGATGAGGAAGAGCACAGAGTGACACGGAGAAATAAAAACCCTTAGAATTCTCCTCTCAAAAAGAGGTATTTTGCAGGGCATGGTGGCTCACACCTGTAATCCCAGCACTTTAGGAGTCCAAGGCAGATGGATTGTTGAGCTCAGTAGTTTGAGATCAGCCTGGGCAACAGGGTGAAACCCCATCATGTTAGCTGGGCATGGTGGTGTGTGCCTGTAGTCCCAGCTACTCAGGATACTGGAGTGGGAGGATTTCTTTAGCTGGGGGGTTCGAAGCTGCAGTGAGCCATCATGGTGCCATTGCACTCCAGACTGGGCAGCAGTCTGAGACCTTGTCTCAAAAAAAAAAAAAAAAAAAAAAGTATTAGCAAAAGCCCAACTCTTTGCATTCCTTCCAGTTCTTTCATCTGATTTTCCTGTTGCCCTTTGACCCAGGTTTATTGCTCTTTTACTCTAGGATATAACAACTATGAAGAAATTCCACTTCCAACATTGATTAACAGTGATTTTAAGAGCAAATAGTTGAGCTTACATTTAAAATTAAAAATTAATAAAAGAGAGAGCTCATTAATATCGATTGGAAAAATTAAACCTCCTCCTCCAGCTTGCATGACCTCAAATCTCTTTCCACCTCCTGGTTCTTCCATCCCAAAGGATTATGAGAAATGCAGCTGACCTGCACACTGTCACTGTTTTCCAAATGTTACTTGCAAATGAGTCACCGTATAATGCTTAGAACGAAACTGTGTTCTGATGGCAAATTTGGAATGTACTGCTAACTAAAAGTCAAGTTAGAACAAATACACGTCCCTTTTCTCACGTTGACAAAGCATTAATAAAAATGTTAGGGACATATTGTTCCTGATGCACCCAGGGAAGCCCTCCCACAAAGCATGTTCTGCTGCTTTAGTGCCTGCCCCAGAGCCTGGCACAGATCTGGGTGTCTACTTAAAACTAAACAAATGTGGATTATCTTGACCTGAGTGACCTTTTTTCAGGACCTGGGTCATAGAAAGTTTTGGATTCAGCCTCAGAATGCAGATTCCGTTCCTAACTTCCTGTGAGCAATACGTCCTTCAACAATCCCCTTTCCCTCCAACCTGAACTTTATTTTCCTCCTTAAAATTAGGAAGTTACATGAGATGATCCCTAAGGCCCTCACCTGCATTGTGTTTTTGTGATTCTGTGATACATCACAGAAGGCAACTTAGAAATGACAGAACAGGGCAGGCAGGAGAAGACAGAAGCGGGAACTAAAGACATTTCCTGCCATGGTGGTCTCAAGACTGCAGCAGACACTATACTCACAGCCCTATAGGACCCACAAAATAATAACTGGACTATAGAGGCACATGAGCTAAAACCCAGGCTTCTTTTGAAAGAGCACGTTGAGAGGGCAGCTATAGGAATTCTTGTCCAGGAGGCAGCAAAAACTGCACTCTTTTTCTGAACAAGTCAGTAAGACTTCCTTGTGAGGAGGACTGGGGGTGGTGGGCTGGGAATGGACCCATGAACTGTTGCGACCTCTCTGCAGCCACCATTCCTGGTCCAGCCTCTACCTTCCACCCGACTCCTCCTCCACGCGCAGGGCCAGAGCATGCGTACCCGACAAGCTCTGCCCTCCTGTGCCTCTCTTCTACAGGTGCCTGTGGGCGGGCTCGTGCATGGACAGTCCCAGCAATGCCACCGTGCCCTGTGGCTTTCTCCTTCAAGGCTTCTCCGAATTCCCGCACCTGAGACCCGTGCTCTTCCTTTTGCTGCTGGGGGTGCACCTGGCCACCCTGGGCGGGAACCTGCTCATCCTGGTGGCCGTGGCCTCGATGCCAAGCCGGCAGCCCATGCTGCTCTTCCTGTGCCAGCTGTCAGCCATCGAGCTGTGCTACACGCTGGTGGTGGTGCCCCGCTCCCTGGTCGACCTGAGCACGCCGGGGCCACCGCAGGGGCAGCCCTATCTCCTTCCTGAGCTGCGCCTTTCAGATGCAGATGTTTGTGGCTCTGGGCGGGGCCGAGTGCTTCCTGCTGGCCGCCATGGCCTATGACCGCTACGTGGCCATCTGCCACCCGTTGCGCTACGCGGCCGTGGTGACCCCCGGGCTGTGCGCGCGACTGGCTCTGGCCTGCTGCCTCAGGGGACTGGCGGTGTCCGTGGGGCTCACGGTGGCCATCTTCCACCTGCCTTTCTGCGGCTCCCGCCTGCTGCTGCACTTCTTCTGCGACATCACGGCGCTGCTGCACCTGGCCTGCACGCGGAGCTACGCCGACGAGCTGCCTCTGCTGGGCGCCTGCCTGGTGCTGCTGCTGCTGCCCTCGGTGCTCATCCTGGCCTCCTATGGCGCCATCGCCGCCGCCCTGCGCCGCCTGCGCTGCCCCAAAGGCCGGGGCAAGGCCGCCTCCACCTGCGCCTTGCACCTGGCAGTCACCTTCCTGCACTACGGCTGCGCCACCTTCATGTACGTGCGGCCCAGGGCCAGCTACTCCCCGCGCCTGGACCGCACCCTGGCGCTGGTCTACACCAACGTCACGCCGCTGCTGTGCCCACTCATCTACAGCCTGCGCAACCGCGAGATCACCGCCGCCCTGAGCAGGGTGCTGGGGCGCCGGCGGCCAGGCCAAGCTCCAGGCGGGGATCTGCGCGAGCTCTGATGGCAGGCCCGTACCAGGCAGAGGGGGCCGCTCCGCTCCGTAGAGTTTTCCCCATCATGAGGGGTCTGCATGGGGAAAGCCAACAAGGGGACTCAAGGACTGCATCCAGGAAAGAGAAAGCCTCCCAGAGGTTGCCCCATCCTCCACTCTTCCCTTGAATAGCTGGGATCACAGCTATTCGGGAGGCTGAGGCACGAGAATCCCTTGAACCCAAGAGACAGAGGTTGCAGTGAGCCGAGATTGTGCCACTGCACACTCCAGCCTGGGCAACAAGAGTGAAACTTCCCCTCCCTCCAAAAAAGAGAGTAGCATTACACAAAGCATTTTAATCCCCCAGTAGCTTGAAGGAAACCTTACTGTCATTGATAAAGTAAAGAGACATTAAGAGGAAGAATAATAATCCGCACTGTCTTGTAAAAATTAATGAGCAAATAAATTCACTTGACATAACTGTTTCTAAACAATGTTACACTAACATATGCGAGTATGTCAAAGAGCACAAATTGGCACAAAACTTAAGTACAAATGTAAGTTATACTAGGAAAATTCCAGAATTTATTTATTCATCCATATTTGCAATAAATACTTGTTGATTGAATTCCATGCCAAGAACTAGACAGTTAAGAATTCAACAGTGATCAAGATGCCACTGTATTCCTAGCACCTATGCAAATTATTGGTAGTGATGAGGTGGGTGGGAGAGATGCTGTGTGTGTTGCAAATATTAAGAGGTTGTGCTAGAGGAACAAATAGAAACCAGGTCTTGCAAGCCTTGTAAGGGATGACAGATAGGTTTCTGTCCTGGAAAAGATGATATATTGGGCTCACTGAGATGGAGAGCACAAGGAAAGCAACCAGTGTGAGGGAAGGACAAGGTGGAGTTGATGAGTTCACTGTTGATTATGTTGACAAGGGGTAGCACACTCAGCAGTCTATGTGATGTGCGTCAGGAGAATCTGGGTAGAGAAATGCCGATGTTAGAGACTGGCATGGCTGATAGAATTCACCAGCATGTTAGAGATTGGCATGGCTGGTAGAAGTCACCAGCATGTTAAAAACTGGCATAGCTGGTAGAAGTCACCAGCATATCTGAGATTTGCATGGCCGAGATCTCCCAGAATGAGCAAGTGCAGTTAGAAGAGCAGCTTCAAGATAAGACAAGGAGCATTAACATTAAAAAAATGAACTGACTTTCTAAGCATAACACAAAACATGAAATTTATTATGTAAAAAATAACCCAAAGCTTTCTCCATGGGATGCCGCTTTAAGCAAACCAAAAAGAGAAAAGAGAAACTTGGAAATTCACATGTAATGAATGAAAGAGGCTCATTTCATTAATACATATAGAGCTCTTAACGATTAATAAGAAAAAGATAACTCCAAAAAATGGGCAAAGTTATGAATAGACTGTTTGTAGAAAAGGAAATGTAAATAGCCCTTACACAGCGGAAAGGTTTCAATCTCATTCATAAGAGAAAGCAAAATAAAATTATAAAGTTGTCAAATTAACAACACTGAAAGATGACTAACACAGAGCAGGAAGGTGAAACAGGCTCTCTTGTATGTTATTAATGAGAGTATAAATGTATACAATTTCTATACAGGGAAAGTGGATGATATTAATTAAAATAAATGGCATGTATTATTTGTTTCAATGTACTTCCAGGGTTTGACCCTACAAATTTATTTGCTTTGTGGGAAAATATGAATGTTCAAAAATATTCATGTCAGCGTTACTTGGATTATCAAAAATCTAGTAATTTCTTAAATATCAATCAATATGTGACCAATTAAATGCATTTTGGTTTATCCCTGTGATGGAATTCTATGCAGCTGCTGAGAAGAATGAAACAGTTTTATCTATGGCAGGTGTGGAACCAGGTCTCATAAAAGTTGTTAAATGAAAAAAGCAAAGCATGTGATTATGTGTATTAAGGAGTCATCCCTCATTCTACTCTTGTCTTCTGGCACATCTCACATTTTCCCTTGTTATTTCCACTCCTGGAATGCTCTTCCCATAGATCTTCCCAATCTGGCTTTTTGTCATTCAGATGCTGTCTCAACTCAAATATTGACTCCTCAAAGAGGCCTTCGTTGAACACCCCATGTAATGTTGCCTCTCCACCCCCTCTCACATTATCATGCTTTAATGTCTAATCATCTGTCATTACTGGAAATCATCTTACTTGCATTTCTACTGCTAATTGCCCATTCCTTCCAACATAAACTCTGTGAAAGGCCATCTGCTTCACTCACCATGGTATTCCCAGTTCCTATCAGTGTCTGGCATGGAATAGAGTCTTAAAAAATTGTTGAATGAATGAGTAAATAAATCAAGGTTTATGGTATGCTAGCATTTATGAGCAAAAATATTTAATTGTAGCTGGGTGCAGTGGCTCATGCCTGTAATCCCAGCACTTTGGGAGGCCACGGCAGGCCAATCACCTGAGGTCGGGAGTTCAAGACCAGCCTCACCAACATGGAGAAACCCCATCTCTACTAAAAATACAAAATTAGTCAGGTGTGGTGACACATGCCTGTAATCCTAGCTACTTGGGAGGCTGAGGCACGATAATCGCTTGAACCCAGGAGGTGGAGGTTGCGGTGAGCAGAGATTGCACCGTTGCACTCCAGCCTGGGCAACAAGAGCGAAACTCCATCTCAAACAAATATATATATATATATATACACACATACATACACACACATATATATACACATATATATACACACACATATATACACATATATATATATACACACACTTATATAATTGTATGTGCATGTATGTGTCTGTATATTTCCTATGTGTTCTCTACGTGTGCATGTATACACGCAGATAAAGACACACATATTTCTGCCAAAGTAAAAGTTTGGAGACTGGGGAATAGAGGTGGGATAAACCTACGTTTTTCATCGAATACCTTCCTTACATACATGTATGTGTCAGTTATTCAATAAATGCTTTTCAAATAAAAATACAGGATAGGCAGAGGAAGGGGAATACCCAACGGAGTTTTTTTTAAAAGAGCAATCAGAGAAGTAGAAGAAAATCAAACATATTGTGGTGTCATGGAAACCAAGAAAGGGAATTTCAAGGATGGAGTAATCAACAGTGCCAAAATGATACTGCGATTTCTAGAATAGTATGACTGGAGCCAAAGATGGCTTTTAAGATGCCTACTCCAACCCAGAAAGTACTGAATTCACCTGTACAAACCTCAGCGGTGCATGTGCAAAGGTCTACTGACCAAACAACAAAACACACATACAGAAATGCTGTCTAGCCAGAGATCATATAATGACTGCCACACTCCATCCAGGGTTAAAAGAACACAGAGAAGCCATTCAAATCTGTGTAATCAACTGCTGGAATGGGAAATAACATTGTCTTTCATTTTAAATGCTGAAATATTTAACACTGTTTCAAGATTTGTACCCAGATTTGTTTTAATCAGGTAGGGTAAAGTGACAGACACAGAAACAGCTGCCTTTGAAAGAACAGTTTATTACTCACAGTTCCTAAGAGGGGGAGGCAAGCTGTGTCATGCAGGGCCACGTGGAGAGGCATACTGTCTCTTTCTGTCAGGAGACAGAAAAAGAAAGGGAAGACCATGCCCGAGAGACTTGATTGTGGTTTCTATGGGAAGAAATGAGTGAGTGGAGTAGAAAACTTAAGGAAGTCTAAGATAGGATAGTTTGAATAATTTCAGCAGGCTCTGGATGACATGCGTGGTATCTAGTAGTCCAAGACCTCACCCTGGGGTGATTAGGGTGGGGAAAATGTTGACTTGGCATGTGAGAGTTAGATAAAGGAGGTGACTGAGTATATGAGCTCTGGATTGGTTGGTTTGCATCTTAATGACATTCTCACAGGGGACACATTTGCCCCTTCTTCTAAATTCCCACTTGTCCAGTTATCCCAAAGCCTGGGAAAGTATTCATTTACCAGGAACTGCAAACTCTTGGTGATCTAGCCACTTCCCTTCAGCTGAAAGTTGCCACTTCATAGGGACAGAATCTATGCAGTTAAAACAATGGGAACTTTCCCTTCTTAAAGATGTTTGCATACCTAGGAACTAGTTAGCACTGACAGGAGCAGTCTCTCCCAGCCAACAAGGCCTCCAAGATGTTGAAGCATCATAAAACATAGAAAATAAAAAACATAATCAATACACACAGTCCCAAAATGATATGTAAGACAGTGTGCATGGAATAAATTTTTTCTGTAACCCTTCAACTGGACCATCATTAATTCGAGCTGTCTTTCTATAACAAATCCCATCATGGGTCTGAAAACAATGCCTCACCAAATCCTCTCTTCACCACAGCCTCTTACTTCCCAGCTCTCATTTATTTGCTCTGAGACCATCCCTTGTCACCTTCATCAACAGCTTCAATCCTTTGGCCCAGATGTTCTCTCCACCTGTGTGCCACCTAAATGAAGCTCCTTCACTTTCTTTCAAAATCAAGATCTCTCAGACTAATGTTTAATTATTTGAGCCAACACTCTCAACTCCATTGTCTGTGTTCTACACACCCAATTTACAAACCTCAATCCGATTTTCTGACATCTCTAATACAAATCTGTGAGTGCTCAATACTTCTGAAGACAAATCTCATTACTCTATAACAGGGCCACTATAATTCTGTAGGATCCAAACTCAGACGGGCCTCATCCTCTGCTGCCCTGCTATACTGCTATATCAGTGGGCTCCTTCCTTGGCTGCATACTGGAATCACCCAAAGACCTTTAAAACTACTGAAGTCTGAGCCTGACACCAGAGATTCTGATTTGCTTAGTGTATTATTCCATTTTCATACTGCTATAAAGAGCTGCCCAAGACTGGGTAATTTGCAAAAAAAAAAAAAAAAAAAAAGAGGTTTATTTGACTCACAGTCCAGCGTGGGTGGAGAGGCCTCAGGAAATGTGCAATCATGGTGGAAGGTGAAGGGGAAGCAGCAGGCATCTTCTTCATAAGGTGGCAGGAAGAAGTGCCAAGAGAAGAGGAAAGAGCCCCTTATAAAACCATCAGATCTTGGGAGAACACACTCACTATCACGAGAACAGCATGGGGGAAACCACCCCCATGGTTCAATTATCTCCATCTGGTCCCTCCCTTGGAGAGATTATGCGGATTTGGGGGATTACAATTCAAGATGAGATTTGGGTGGGGACACAAAGCCTAATTATATCACTTGGTCTTGGTGTAAGTCAGGCATTGGGGTTTTCAACAACTCCCTTTAGGTGATTCTAAGGTGTAGTCAAGGTTGACAGTCACCGCCCTCTAATCATTACTCCAGTCCTTCACAGTGGAAGAGGCTACCCTGCTTCTGCTTAAATTTAACCCTCCTTGAGTTCCAGATCTCATCTTCACCTACCTCCTCAGAGAGCTCATACATTATTTACCACTACTATCTCCCATGCTTAGAACCCAGGTATATGAACATCTTTAAGGTAGGAAAGTTCCAATTATTCTAATTGCACAGGTTCTTTTTCTTGACATAGCAACTTTCAACTGAGGGGAAGTGGCTAGATCACCGAGTTTGCAGTTCCCAGTCAATGAATACTTCCTACAGAAGGTGGGTAACTGGACAAGTGGACAGTTAAAAGGGGGCTGTAGGGAGGGAACTAGAACACCACTATCCAGAAGGAAAAAAGAAAAGGTGAAGTAAATGTGGAAAAATACTTATTAAAATTTAATGAAATTTCTCTGCATATAAGACCATTTCCCACATCTAAGCTGAGGCTCACTTAGAGAAGTAATATTTGTGTAGCCCTTTGGGGGGCAACATTTCTCCAAGATATTTGAGTTGTAGGTAACAGCTAAGCCTTTATATTAAGCCTATTAATGACTTAAGTCTTTGCCTGGAGCTTCTGAAGTACCAGTCCCACATAGTGGAGATTAAGATTTTCTATGATCCTCCTGACAATGGACAAATGTACCTCCTTCATCTTACAATGGGAGGGGAGGCCTCCTAACCACACAATCTCCCTTAATCCAGCAGTTGGATCCCTCAGCTGCTCCTGGTGGCCATCTTCCCTGCAGTGTCTGCCTCCTCCCCTGGCTGTGCCTGATTGATGGGTCTTACTGACTCACCATGGAGGTCCATGTTATCTCCAGCCTTCAGCTGCTCCCGAAAGCAGTTGCTGCCTTCTGGGAAACAATCATGAAAGTGAATTTAATCCATCTTGTCTCATTATCATTAAAGCACACATCACAAAGGGAAAAGTAAAGTGCCTCACCTGAACGTTGCTGGAGCACAGCACCTGTAGAGGCAGGGCTGGGCCTCGGAGAGAAAAGTGGCAGTGCCGTAGCACAGGGGCATTGAGCCAGGCTACCTGGATCTGGATTCTGACCCCTGAAGTTCCTGACTGTGACCTTGGACAAGTTCCTCTAACCTCTCTGGGCCTCTGAGTCTTCAGTGGATAAGCTGGAGTTGACATTAGCACCTGCCTCACAGGGTTGTGATAATCACAGCTAATATAGGAAATATGCTTAGAACAGTGCCTGGCACTGTTAGCTACTATTAGTAGGGCATTATTAATAGCAGATGTTTTCCGGTAGGCAGAATCAGTGCAGAAGTCCCAGAGCTGTTCTAAGCAAAGAAAATCACTAGCTTTATACTGCAGGCCCCATACCTTGAAAGGACACACCTTGGAAGAAAAATGGGTATATATTTGGTAGGGCCTGGGCAAGGGGCTTGCTGGTTGGAACAGCAGGAAAAGAAGAAACCAGGTTTCCAGTCTACCTTTTCCACCTCTGCTTGTGTGGGTTCTGGGAGGGTTTCTCTCCAAGACCTCGTATCTTTGCTACTGTTGTTGTCCCTGGACAAATTGGGGATCCCGAGGTGGCTGTGATTTTGTTTTGCTGAACTGCCCTCTGGCTCTCTTTCCTGTACATTGGGAAATTCTGAGATGGGAAGACTAGTAAAGTACTTGGAAAGGCTAAGAACTGGCTTAGAAGTAAAGTTGAAGTTAACAGGGTCAATGAGAATTTTGGTGGCTTTTTTAAAACTTACATCCCTTCAGAGTTATTTAAACAGAAAAAATCATTTATTAGGGAAAGACCCACAGAATCTGTAGGAGGACAATAGAGTTGGGCAAAGATGAAGCCAGGAACCAAGGCACAGCATATAGAGGGACTGCTCTAGTGAAGACGCCACAGTTCCGCTGCTAGTGACCAACAATATATGATGTTGGGGAGTCAGATACCAGACCCTCAGCCCTGAGAAGCTCAGTGCTCCATCACATCCTTCTCTCCATAAGATGCCTGCCTCAACACATGACCCTGTCCAGGAGCAGAATCATGCATAGGCATCTAAGTGAGGAAGCCTGAGTTACTGGGAAGGAGTCAGCTGTAATGGGGAAAGGGATTTCAGGACATCAAAGATGTCTGGGTGATTTTTAGGAAGGCTTGCAATGTGGTGTGGGAGGAGCCCTCCCTCTCTCACCCCTCAACCTCCACATCAAAATCAATTACCCGTCATTGCACTGGGACTTATGGCCCATGACGGATGCAATTATATCCTGGCCACAAGGCTAGGGAAGGAAGTCTAAGGAGGTTCAGTCATAATGTGATTATGTTCACAAAATATAGGCCTATTTTCAGCTTTACCTAATGCCACTATTAAACTTGAAAGTCATTGGACTTTGGCAAAATATTTTGCTGCATGAGTAGTTGAAATTAAAAGCTTCAGCAAAAGAAATTTACTCCCAAATTATTTAAACCATTTTACCCAGAATATTCCTAGAAAACTATGTTATCAAAGAGTACAACATGATATCGTTCATTGTATTTTCCTATAAGGACAATATGATAGAAGGTTGGTTTTCTGACTAAAACTTACCATTAAATTAATCCTCTATATGGCCAAAAATACACCAAAATAAAAGTATTATCAATCTTTGAAATAAAGTAGTGAAATAAGTCTAATTCTTTAATAAAATCTGTATAAGCAGTACTATTCTTAATGCAAGTGTCCCAATCATAAAAAGCACATATAGATCCTAAAAAATTTAACTTGGTATTATAAACTTAACTATTTTTATAATAGGTTAGATTTACTAATCTTTTATAAAGTCTAGATTGTTTTTCGTAGAGAGAACTTTAGAATAAATGTTTAGACAGCCTAGATACCTTAAAATTGTTTGTTAAAGATGTTTGAAATAGATATTTTCTTTTCTTTTTTTTTTTAGATGGAGTCTCACTCTGTCAACCAGGCTCGGGTACAGTGGTGTGATCTCAGCTCACTGCAAACTCTGCCTCTTGGGTTCAAGTGATCCTCCTGCCTCAGGCTCCCAATCAGCTAGGACTACAGGTGTGTGCCACCACACCTGGCTAATGTTTGTACTTTTAGTAGAGAGGGGATTTCACCACGTTGGCCAGGCTGGTCTCAAACTCCTGACCTCAGGTGATACACCCGCCTCAGCCTCCCAAAGTGCTGGGATTACAGGTGTGAGCCACCACACCCACACTTCTTCTTCTTTAAACATTTCTTTGATAAGCAGAAACCTTCAAAATCATTCTACTGATCTTAATGCTACCTCAAACTAGCAGAGCAGAATTTTAAATCTATGTTTCATGGTGGCTATATTAATAATGATTATAGTGCTTCTCCCACCACAACTCAAAAAACTAAAAAACTCTAAAATCTAACCAGTGTCATATATAAAGCTTAGAGTCAGACCTCTGTCTCCATTTAGGAAATACTTGACATTGAGCCAGGCTTGTGTGGCCTAACCCAGCCCCAATTCTCTCCTTCCTCAAATGAAATAATATCTATGAAATTTCTTGAAATTAAGCACTGTACAAACATAAATTATTTTTATTTGTGGAAAAAGAAGTGGAACATTCTCCTAGCAAGATGAGAGCTGGAGAGTCATCTTTATTAAGGGAGCTGGGAGAATTTCACTGGATTCCTTTTCATTTGACTTAGAGGTAGATGGAGAGAGGAAGGAGGTCTGTAAGGCAGTTTCTCAGTCAGCACCCCTCACTTTCCTTCTCCATCTTCAAGACAGCTGCTGTATATTCACTATCAACAGGAACAAAGACAAGATGAAAAAGGGCTCCTGTGCCTCTGAACAGCTTCTGGACCTCAATTTACTCTTGGATAATCATTTCTGGCCCCTACACTCACTACCCTCTTTTGACCTCCCTCTGGCTCCAGTGTGCCCATGTCCACCCTACCTGGCCAGAAGATGGCTTCCTGAACTGGACTCTATCGTCACCTTTGTAGAGGGCTTAACCCAGTAGCCCTCTACAGGCTACAGTCAGCTTCCAGGATGTGAGGGAGCACTGAAACTTTCTGCATTTATTGCAAAGCTTGAGGAATAGTTTCAATTAACAGAGCTTCTAAAAAGGTGCTTCCAAAATATCTCTCACAACCTACCAAGGATGGCATAAAACACTTCAGGTTTGAGGCAGAGAACTGTTGGAACAGTTTGTATTTTGCGAAGGAGAAAAATATGAAAATGTTCAGTTTACAAGGCACAGCAGGATAGAAGTAAATGTGTGAGGAAATAAAAATTAATCTCTGTTTCTAGCATTGGCTTGACTGGCACCTTTCTTCTAAACTCTTCAAAGCATTTCAACATAAAAATATCTACTATTCACTGAGGGCTTATCATGGACTGGACACTGTGCTAAGTGCTCTGCATGGATCGTCTCATTTGATCTTCACAAAAGCCCGTGAGTCAGGTATTACCATCCTCCCCATTTTACATCAGAAGAAACTGAGGCAGTAGAGACTTTAACTTGCCCATTGCTGCAAAGGCACAAGGTAGGAACAAAGATTCAGACTTGCACATTCAGGGTCTAGAACCTACACCTTTAGCCACCAGGCTATGCAGCCTCCAGAGGGGTCTTGGTGGGCTAAGTAGATGAAACAACCTCCGCTACACAGAGTGCATGTGATACTGAAAAAGATTTGAAAATCTTGCGAAAATATCACAGCCACGATGGAATTCCCAGGTCCCAGACCACAAGATCTCAAATCTATTGTAGAAACTAAGGGGAACTGGTTTACTGAACAAGCTGAATTCACAAACTGTAATCAGAAAAGTGCTGTGTTCTTTCTCATCTCCATACACTCAAACCTGCACTATGGGGCTAGTCCTTCTCTGTGCCTTGGACTAAATCCATAACAAGTAGCATGAATGTTCTAGTTCCTCCCAAAAAATCAAAACGTTTTCATTCGCCTTAAGTCCCCAAAACATTCTCACTGCAGTCTTAAAAATATCCAGCCCAAGGTAAAATCAAACCTCTAAACCTTGTTTTAAGATAAAGCTTCTTCTGACTCCCAACCCCAAAAGCTTAAAGTGGGGAATGTTGGCTTCTTCTCTCTTCTCTAACCTTCCTAGCTTCCTCACCTCCCTCCCCTGCCTGGCCCCCACTAGACTGCTTCTGACTCCTCATGGGTTAGAGCAGGGGACAGAGACAGGTAAGAAGCAGAAATGTTCTTGTTGATGTGCAGTGGGGGAAGCACTTGGAGAGCAAGAAGGAGATCAGACTCAAGAAGACAAGAGAAAGTATAGAGAACAAAGCTGGAGGATCTTTAATCATGAATTAACCCCAGGGCAACCTGGGATGGGAGTAAGAAAAGAGATTAGAATCTGTGTTAGTTTCCCATTGCTGCTGTAACAAATTGCCACATATTTGTGGCTTAAAACAACGTAAATGTATTCTCTCACAGTTCTGGAAGTCGGAAGTTCAAAATCAATTTTACTGGGCTAGGGTCAAGGCATTGGCTGGGCTTGTTCCTTCTGGCAGCTTCAGAGGAAAACTCATTTCCTTGCCTTTTTTCAGCTTTTAGTGGCTGCTGGCATTCCTGGGCTTGTGACCTCTTCCTCAGGTCATTCTAACTTCTTGCTTCTACCTTCACATCTCTTGGCCTTTGGCGTGGGCTGCCAGTCATCCTGTTCCATTCAGCTCTTCATGGATACAGCCGACTGGGGCTGTGGATGTATGTGGGCAGGGGAGGGAATGAAGAAATGCAGCCAGGATAGGGCACACCGCAGCACCAAGCAGCTACAACATAATCAGATTGTGAGCATTAAACAGAAGGCATGTGGAGTAGTTTTCTAAAGCAGCCTGTTCGATTCTTTGTAAAAGGCCCTTCACGGTTTCCCCAGCTTGATATGGGCTTGGCCCTAAAGAGAAGACGGAGGCAGAAAGATCTGATGCTGGTGTTCCTGCCTCTCTCTCTAAAGACCCTTGTGATTATATTGGGCAAACCTGGCTAACCCAGGATAATCTCCTCATCTCAAAATACTTAATCACCCCTGCAAAAATCCCTTTTGCCATAGAAGATAACAGTCATAGACTTGGGAGATTAGGACAGAAGGTGGACACATGTGCAGGGCCATTATTCAGCCTATAACCAGGTCCAAACTGTTAGGGAAAAATTGAGGCAAATGCTTAGGCCTGGAGGGGAGCCAGAAGGCTCTAGAAATAAAAACGAGTCAGCTTCCTTAACTCAAGGCCAGGAAGCAAACTCTATCTAAAGAGCAGGAAACACCCAGCCAGAACTCTTTTCTCTGCTCCTTTTGAGTATTAAGACACGTCATTTTGCTTAATTCAGTCATGGAAAAGATCTTGACAGCAGAAAGACACTGCTTCTGCTTTTGCAAACCTCTGTGTGGAATTCCACAATGCCAGAGCATAAAGAGACCTTTGCCTTCTTCCATTGCAACCACTTTTTTTTTTTTTTTTTTTGAGATGGAGTCTCACTCTGTCTCCCAGGCTGGAGTGCAGTGGCATGATCTCAGGTCGCTGCAACCTCCACCTCCCGGCTTCAAGTGATTCTCCTGCCTCAGCCTCCCAAGTAGCTGGGACTACAGCAGGTTCGTACCTCCATACCCAGCTAATTTTTTGTATTTTTAATAGAGACGGGGTTTCACCATGTTAGCCAGGATGGTCTCCATCTCCTGACCTCGTGATCTGCCTACCTTGGCCTCCCAAAGTGCTGGGATTACAGGCGTGAGCCACTGCACCTGGCCGTTTGCAACCAGTTTCTTTTAGAAAGGAATGTGAGAGGCAGCATGGTCTAGTGAAAAATGCCCAATATTTGAAATTTGACATCGGGTATATCCCAATTTTCATCTTGGCTGGCTCTTTACCAGTTGTCTACCTCTGGCCCAGTCTGTGTCCACCTTGTAGAACTGTTCTGAATGTGACAGAATAACATTTTCTTTTCCTCACTCCTGAGACATGACACAGATTCTGTCCCATCTTTACAGCCGAGCCCGTATCAGGCTGGGGAAACTGAGAAGGGCCTTTCAAAAAGAATCAAATAGGCTGCTTTAGAAAAATATTCCACATCGGCCAGGTGCGGTGGCTCAAGCCTGTAATCCTAGCACTTTGGGAGGCCAAGGTGGGCCGATCACCTGAGGTCAGGAGTTCAAGACCAGCATGGCCAACATGATGAAACCCCATCTCTACCAAATATACACAAATTATCCAGGCATGGTGGCGGGTGCCTGTAGTCCCAACTACTTGGAGGCTGAGGCAGGAAAATCACTTGAACCCAGGAGGTGGAGGCTGCAGTGAGCCAATATTGTATCACTGCATTCCAGCCTGGTTGACAGAGTAAGACTCTATCTCAAAAAAATAAAATAAAATAAAATAAAATAAAATAAAATAAAATAAGAAAAAGAAAAGGAAAATATTCCATGTGCCTTGGGTTTAGTGCTCAGAATCTGATTACCTTGTAGCTGCTTGGTGCTGCGGTGTGCCCTGTCCTGGCTGCGTTTCAGCAGGACGAGCTGAATAATGAAGAGAAGAGATGCCCAATTCTCTGTCCAAGATGGACACCATATGGAGAATTGCAGGCACAAGGATAACACTTAGAGAAAAACAGATCAATCTATATTTTCTTTATTAATTCCAAATTTCTGAAGCCCTGAGGCACCTACATCAAAACCCACAACCTTTGGATTTGAACACTGAGATTTTGATAAACTAGGGAACTCAGGATATGACATAAGGGAAATCTTCCATTTCATGAGAGGGCAAAACCTTCTCTTTCTGACACAGACTTGGGAATAAATAAAGGAAGAGAAAGGTAGAAGAAGCAGACATTCAAATATATGTGTTCTAAACAGCCCTCCAAGGGACTGAGGCCCTGAGGATGAAGAGATAGGATAAGAAGAGGCCAAAGGTGGAAATACTTTCCTGATCCCCATTTAGAGCCCTACCAAGAGACTGTTGTTCAGGGTGACCTAGAAACTCCAAAGATGTTGAGGGACGATAGAAAAGCAGCAGTGAAAGAGGATGGCAGGCAAGCCAATCTGAGCATGCTCCTGGCTCCCTAGAATATGGAATTCATGCCTCAAGTTCCTGTTTGTCTCGAATGGGAGGTGCAGATACAGGAAGCAGCTGGGAGCTCAACCAAAGAACATGCCAGAGGGGATCAGCTTGGTGGAGAAAATGTGGCCATATCACTGAGAGCTACAGAATGGACTTCCCAACTCAGGGCTCCAGAAGAAATCAGTCATGTCTGGGAGGTGATGTGTGTGTGTTTGGGGGAATCACAGCATTGGAAAACCAGAAGTGGGACCATTTCAACAAGAAGATGGCCACCAAGCCTTGACAAAGCCAAGACAACAAACAGTCCATGGGTTCCTTGGCCACAGCCTCCAACAGTGGATGACACAGGTTGGATCCACATAAACTATGTCTCAACAGAAACCTGCCACGTGAATAAGCAAAGATTCGAGTGGTTGTCCAGCTGCAGAAGCCAGCACCAGGACCAGCACAAAACAAGAGTGATTCTACATATCCATTCAAAGCCCCACAAGTCAGTACTATCAGGTTTTGTCTTATGCCCAGAAGCCCTGTTGATAAGGAAGAAAAAGAAATATACCACTCTGATATAAGGTAGAACTTCAAATTAATTAAATATTTACCTGGAAAGATCATTTTAAGTTAACAGAGACCATTTATACTGTAAAAAAACTAAGATACCTTTAATTGGTATATTATATTGTTTGCTTTTTGTCTTCTTTCTACAGTACCCAACAGAATGGAGACTCAAGAAAATAATATCATTATAGAAAACAAAATAGCTACGTCTTCAGGGAACATCAGTAAAGAGTATTCAAATTCATTATCCTAGCATATAGACAAGTTGATCTTGAAGTAAAAATTGTCCTGGACTTCATGTTTGCACTTGTAATTTATTAAGGAAAGACTTCTTTTCTAGAAATGGAATGCATAATGCCCGTTCAATGTTAATACATAATAAGGAAATTATGTAAAGTTTCAATTAGATGATTCTTATAAAGCTTTTAGTATTCATTGAATTTTAGTTACTCATCCTCATTAAGTGTTTTCCCCTAAGTCATTTATGAGAAAAGACCAAAGCATAGAAATGCCACTTTAAATTTTTCCTACATGTAGAGATAGGAAACAGAACAGTATTCTAACTCAGTCATGCCAGAGCTAATTCATGATGAGTTGTATCCGAGGCTGTTGAAGCTGCTGTCAAGCATAGCAGTCATCAGTTCCGGTAAAATGCTTCCCAGAAGGTACCTTTTACATTCACTGGGAAAGATGAGGAAACGTTAATTCTGGTAAAAATGGAATGGAAAGAACTGAATGGAAAGGTTAGTAACTGAGAACCAGAAATAGTAGTTCCCTGGGAGTGAACTAAATTATTGCTAGTAACAGGAAACTCTTGAGGCAAGGAGATACTGGGGTGGGGAAGGAGAGAGTAGGAAAGTGGTTAGTGGTGGGGCAGTTCCAAAGGAGTGAAAGAGGGGAAAGACCCAGGTGAGCAGCATGCCTGGGCCCACACAGATATCACAGGAAATCAATTATGTCCAAGGCTGTGGGTCTTTCATTGCCTTCTTTAGTGAAACTCCTGGTATTGGTCAATCTCAAAGGAAATGATTCTTCCCCTCTCAAGTCCAGTTTGGAACTCATGATGGAATGACTTTAGTCTCAGACCTCAGAATCTAGTACCTAGAATGAAAGGAAAATGTTGTAATGCACACACTGAAAAACACAGACTTCTGCAGGACCTTGAGGTCCAATTCCACCATTTGGTTTCACAAACAAAGAAACTAAGACCCAGGGAGATTAGGTGACTTGTCAAAAGTCATAGAGCAATTTGTACCAAAGCCGGAGTAAAACCCATTGTCCTGCCTCTAGTCCAGGGTGTTTGCCACCATAGAATATTTCCAGATTTATTTTTTATGGTATAAATAGTCGAAAACCTATAGTTATATCTACTTTGCTGAGATACAGTTTTAATTGTATCTTTCCTTGAATGCTCACTTATGTTGCCCAAAGGCTATTCAGTAGTGCCAGGCATTAAGACAGCAAATTCATTTCCTAATATCACTATCTCAATGCGATACGTCTATATCAGATATGTGAATTTTTTAAATTTCATTTGGATTCCTATGAGAGAAAAAATATGTGTTTATTATAAACATTTAAAAATATTTGTAACAGTTTGTTCTCTCATTGTTATAAAGAACTACCTGAGACTGGGTAATTTATTAAGAAAAGAGGTTTAATTGACTCACAGTTCCACAGACTGTTCAGGAAGCATGGAGAGGAGGCCTCAGGAAACTTATAATCATGGTGGAAGGCGAAGTGGAAGCAGGCACATCTTACACGGCCAGAGCAGGAGGAAGAGAGACAGCGGGGAGGTGCCACACACTTTCAAATAACCAGATCTTGTGAGAACTTAACTCACTATTGGAAAACAACAAGAGGGAAATCTGCTCCCATGATCCAATCACCTCCCACCAGGCCCCTCCTCCAACACTGGGGATTACAGTTTGACATGAGATTTGGGCAGGGACACAAATTCAAGCCATATCAATATTGATAAGCTAAAAATAAGAAAACAAAAATATCTATAATCCTATCACCCAGAGATTAACCCACTGACATTTTATGGTCATCTTGCCTGTTCTTTTTCTACTTTTCAATCTTTATATACATCCAACTGTATATATATTATATTTCCTACTATTTTCTAACCTACTTTGTAAAAAAAAAAATCTAGTTACATATTTTCTGTAACCTTAGTGCTTGGAAAAGTAAGAAGGATGCATTTTTCTTTTTTACCAGCAGGGAAACATTCTTATTAGATGAGAGTAGGAGGTAGTGTGGAGGATGGTTCCCAACAGTTCTTTTCCTTTACACTGGAGTCATCTGTGTCAGCTCATACCGAGTCTGCCTTTGAAGTGCATCAGGGGTCCCACCTCTCAGATGTCATTTTCTTCTTCTTCCCCCTCATGGTGCCCTTGGTTTTCTTTTTACTGCTGCTCTCCTCCTTAACCTTTGGCTACAACTCTCAGTCAGAAGTTCTAGCAGTTTTCTCCATCCACAGACCTTGAGGTGGGGAAAGCTTCAGGCCCTGTGAGGTCCTGAGCTTACCTGGGCAGTGGAAGCAGCAAAGATAAACCCAAGATTCTTCAGGTCTTGCCCAAAGGGGAAGAGCATGAAGTTAAACAACAGTTCCCTAGTCCATTGTCATTACAATGACAAATCTTCCAGGTAAGTAAACCTTTATCTTGCAATATTGGCCAATTGTTATAAAAAAAATTTAGTGGGTTACACACTGATGTCTCTCTTTTTTCTCCCCATTTTACCAAAGACTCATGTTCTATTACTATAGAAATAAATAGTTAAATATTGGGAATAAAACCTCATCCTGACCCATTGTTTCCTCTGCTCCTTCTAGTAATTCCAGTGAAGAAATTAAAACTTTGTGGAAGATGGCCAAGAACCGGGAGATCAGTATTAGGAAAGCTGATAAAGAAAAAACTTCTAGTAATATGAAAATATGCAAAGGAAACACAACAGGAATGTGATGTGGGAGACCATCAAAGAACCTGCAGAACTATTTTAATGACTGTGAACTTGAGACTTCTCAATGGCTCCCAGGCCATGGATGTGATGATTCTAATGTGCGATGTGTCCTCACCACTCTAAAACTAGATGTCACTGTCACTAAAACTAGGTGTGTGGGAGGAGGGGTGAAGGTGCTTTCATTTTCTTCCTTTAGGAAGGAGACCAGGTTCTAAAATTTTAGTTTCTCTTTCCTATCTCAATTACTTTCAGTCCCTTCTCACCAGGTCAGAAAAGTAAATGTTTCTGAATCCCAACTTCTACTAAAAGTCCTCAGTGATGCCACAGCATTGAAGGGCAGTAAAAGATATAAAAGAGTTACAGAAGGGCTCATTATGCTAGGAACTAGAAGGACAATTAAAAGTTGAAATAAAATGTTTTTAGAATATGTATTCCACAGGGAACTTAGTAGAGGAGGGAGCTGTGGTTGCAGAGAAGTAGCTGTGGGGAAGAATGAGTAAGAAACACACCAAGAGCAAGTAATTTCCCTCTGGGGATGCCTAAATTCTGAAAAGTTATCAGCTAATACTGACAAAGTAAAGCCTGCATCACGAAGAAGAGGATGAACAACTGTATCAAGGACTTTCTAAGAGATGTACATCTCCACATTCAAAATGTCCTGTGCATGAAGTGAGCACTCAGCCTTGGTGAGTCACCCACAAGGAAGGCTAAGAGGAGGTGGTAGGAGGATAAAGCCCAAATTCCTGGGAGCACCCGGGACTGTTTTGTGATCCTCCACTGTTTTTCTCACTGGTTGTAGTTGGAGGCTCTTTGAATTCCTCCCGTGACCTAGATGATATAAATCAGTGTTTTCAAGCCACTTGATAGAGTCCTAGTTCTTGTCAGTCACCAAATCAACAGCATAAACTGAAGTGCTCAGTATATGTAGATATACATTTTAAAAACTAAAGAATGGAAGTCAAAAGGGAGATGACTCTTTTCTTGGCCTTGAGGCATTTCTATTCTGTTGGAGATAAGAAGGAATGGAGAAGGGCTTGGATTGGTATAAGAACCAAAGATAGACATAGACCTTCATCTTTTCTTGATAAAGAAGATGGTGAGAAGTGTCTGTTCATATCCTTCGCCCACTTTTTGATGGGGTTGTTTGTTTTTTTCTTGTAAATTTGTTTGAGTTCATTATAGATTCTGGATATTAGCCCTTTGTCAGATGAGTAGATTGCAAAAACTTTCTCCCATTCTGTACGTTGCCTGTTCACTCTGATGGTAGTTTCTTTTGCAGTGCTTAGGAAGGAGGCTTACGTATCAGAAGGCTACCAGCCTTTCAGCCTTGGCCCAAGTAGTTTTGCCATTTCTACTGGTGTAGTCCTCTTCCCCGTTTCCTTAGTCTCTGGTTTTGAGTCAATTAGTCCCGTTCATTGACACCTCCCCAATCAGCTATGTGTGAGATCTGAATCCTTTGAACCCAAAACCCACTAATTCATATCTCATTGCCTACAGTCCCACTAGCTATGCATGCTTAGAGCAATCAAACACCAAAGGATCTATTTTTCCCTTCTATACTACTTTAAACCACAGATTATGTATATTCACTTATCACAAATCTTTAGAGCTGGAAGAAATCTTAATGTACCTAATCTAACTTGCTCATTCTGTAGATGAAGAAACTGTGGCTTTAAAATGTAGCAATGTACCCAATGGATACGTAGATGGTTTCCTGATACAGCTTGAAGCCCAGGCCTCCTTATATGAATCTTAGCATACCTTAAACCTCATCTACTTTTTTAAGAGGCAAGAGCACTATTTCTTGTTTTTGTTTTGTTTTGTTTTTTGTTTCTACTTTATTATTTCTACAGATCTGCTGAGCTGATTACATAGCCAGACTCTATGTCTCCTCTTACCAGATGTCTTCATCAAGCTTCCTCTGAAAACTCCCCTGATAAGGTCATGATGACTCACTCTTTCTATTCTCCCTGCAGGCTGAGTTCCTAAGCAGGAGACCAGACTGATTGATTTGTTATCCCAATACCTTCCACTGGACCAGGCGCTGAACAGTGCTCAGTACATGTTTACCAAGGTGAGAAAAGTGGAATAAAATTCTCTGTCCCAAAAAGCTAAGAACGAGGCCATCTATCAATAAAAATAGTTTTTCATCATCTAAAAACATCACCAAAATGTATTGGAATAAAATAGTACTAAGTTCACACTGTGTGCAGAGCATGTACTACCTACTCACTGAGTACAGGTGAACCCTCTACTTTGATTCTTCACTATATTTAACAGGGTCTCTGTAATTAGGTGGTTTAAGCAATATAATGCATTTCAAGGGGCTTTATGACCCACATTCTGAAAACTTTCTGACGTTTATAGCACATATTCTATTGTTTCTTGTCCCCATGGCACTGGGTAGACTTTACCTCTGTAATTTGGACTTGTTGAGCATAGTAACAGCCACTTACGTTTACTTATACTTTACAAAGCACATTCATATTCATTTGTTCATCTGATCTTACTTAAAATGTTGTGAGATAAGCATTATTATTATTCATGCATTTCAAATGAAGAAACTGAGGCTCATAGAGGTCTAGTAAGTTGCACATAGCAGACTAATGGAAGAGGCAAACTCAAACTCAGACCCCTTGACTTATTTAAAGCTTTACCCCCACACCACATGTCTTTCTCTTCAAGGATAGATGGCTGTCCTGAGCTTCCCATCTGAGGTTCCTCAGGTGCCTCCCTTCCTAGACTACAGCTTTTCAGAACTCCTTCCCACCCTTCACTCATGGGCTTGGGTAGAGCTAGATGTGCAGGGCAGCCCTGACCCTTGTTCCAGCTTAGTCTCCAGGTAGATCTGAGACCTGGGCAAATCACCGTAGCCCTATTCCTTGGTTTCCTTGTTTATAAAATGAAAGGAATGAAACACTTAGCCCCTATATTTCTTTTCATTTTAAACAGTTGTGGTTACCTTCTGGAGGGTATCTCAATCCTTGAGGCCAACTCTGAAGGTGAAGATTCTGTCTATAGTAACAAGCAGCATACTGATCATAGTAGATCAGCATTGATCTACTTCTGCTGATACAAGGGAACCATCTCCCTAGGGCAGCAGTCAAAATTCCAGCCCCTGGCTCTGACCCTAGAACCTGATCTCCAACCTTGAGAACCCAAGGCCAGTTTCTATTCTTAGCAGTTTCTACAGTGACACCTTCTGGCCACTGCAGGACCAGGGCTGAATGGAGACAAGATGCCAGCTCCATCCAGGTCCTCTCTGCTCTCTCCCTCCACCAATGTTTCCAGCCAGAAGAAACATAAATTGAATTATGCATTTCAGCTTTCTTGCATTTTATTCTGTGGTTCTGCTCTCATTTTCTTAATGCAGATGTATGGCATTTGTCCTCTGGCTGTAGTGGCTTGCACAAACATGCTCTCATTAGATTCTCAGATTTGACCAAAATCCATTTTTAAAAATTTATTATTTGATCCTCTGGCACTGCTGATTTTCTAAACACAAATCCCTAACATTGAAAGGTGGAATTTCCTAGAGGTTGGTTGAAAGCATAGTGCCTGATATACTCAATAATGTTTTAATAAATGAATCAGTTTGTTAATTAAATTTTTTAAGAGCAGGAAATACATCTGGAGATTATATTTATATTAAGAAAAAGTGATGGCACTTAATTTTATTTTTCAAGAGGACCAGTCAGCATGGTAGAAGGGAGATGAACTGGTACAACCTTGGCTGACAAGGGAGAATTCACTCTGTTTGAAAAGATTCTGTGGGTTTCTATCACCTCATACTCAGTAGTAATACATGAGTATCATTGGTTTTCGAACGCTTGCATCACAACATTACTTTGTTAATCATTTGTTTAAACATCTAAATAAATGCCTGAAACTCACTATATAAATTGCATGTTATTAAGGAGTAAGGCATAACTACTGTCATAATTTAATTACAAAGCTCCAAATTTAATTAGCCAAATACTAACCTTGTTCTTCTCCTTCATAGCACTTAGCACAATTATACTTAATTAATTATTTGTAATTATTGATGTAATCTCTGTGTCCCTAGATAAATTATAAGAATCAAGAAAGCAAGGGCCCGTGTTTCTATCTTTCTTACTTACCAGCAGGTAACCAATGCCTGGCACAGACCCTGGCACACCAGCAGGGGATTAGTAGATATTGGTTTCAAGGACTTCAGCTTTATCTGGACTTGTGGGAGAAATGAAAAGGATGTGAGAGGATTCCTGTCTGGACTTAGTGGACCCTAGAAGAAGCAGGAAGAGCAGCTCAATCCAGAGTTAAGAAATGAGCTGAGAAATCCTAGGACATGCCTACAGTTCTCAAGTGTCTGATTACAATACTTTACCCACTGCTTCCCCACAGTGAAGAATCCTTCCTTTCTTTCATATCTTCCACATTCCTTCCCTCCTTTTCCATTTTCCTATTGTCTTTCCTTAGTTTTTCTTTGCTTCTTTCATCCTTTCTTCTCTATCATTCCTTCTACATTGATAGATTACCTCCTACACAACTGTAACTGTGATCGGTCCTCGACGTGAAAGGATGGCCAAAACAGGGACTTTGTCCTTCAGAACCTCTCAGAATTTGGTTTAGTGTCAGAAACCAAATGTCCTTTTCTCCAAGACCTTTGCATTCCCTCCTAACCACCTAGATTGAAGAAGTGAGGTTCAATGTCCCAACTGGGAAGGGACAACATAACCTGGGTGAGTGAGTTCATCCTAATGGGTCTCTCCAGTGACAGGCAGACCCAGGCTGGACTCTTTATCTTATTTGGGGCTGCCTACCTGCTGACCCTGCTGGGCAATGGGCTCATCCTGCTCCTGATCTGGCTGGACGTGAGACTCCACCTGCCCATGTATTTCTTCCTCTGCAACCTCTCACTTGTGGACATCTGCTACACCTCCAGCAGGGTCCCTCAGATGCTGGTGCACTGCACCAGCAAAGAAAGACCATCTCCTTTGCCCGATGTGGGACCCAGCTCTTTTTCTCCCTGGCCCTCGGAGGGACCGAGTTTTTGTTGCTGGCCGCAATGGCCTATGACCGCTACGTGGCTGTTTGCGACCCCCTGTGTTACATAGCAGTGATGAGCCCAAGGCTCTGCATGGCACTGGCAGCTGTCTCTTGGCTAGTGGGCCTGGCTAATTCTGCTATGGAGACGGCACTGACCATGCACCTGCCCACCTGTGGGCACAACGTGCTGAACCATGTGGCCTGTGAGACACTGGCACTGGTCAGGTCGGCCTGCGTGGACATCACCTTCAATCAGGTGGTCATAGTGGCCTCCAGTGTGGTGGTGCTGCTGGTGCCCTGCTGCCTGGTCTCGCTGTCCTACACCCTCATTGTAGTTGCCGTCCTGCAGATCCACTCCACCCAGGGGCACCGCAAGGCCTTTGGGACCTGTGCCTCCCACCTCACTGTGGTCTCCATATCCTATGGGATGGCCCTCTTTACCTACATGCAGCCTCGCTCCATGGCCTCAGCTGAGCAGGAAAAGGTGATGGTACTCTCTTATGCTGTGGTGACCCCCATGTTGAATCCTTTCATCTACAGTCTGCGGAACAAGGATGTGAAGGCAGCTCTGAGTCGAGCTCTGATGAGGAGCTCTGAATTAAAACATTAGAGAGTGGTTTGAGTAACAAGAAGGCCTCACTCTGAAAACAGTGGGCATTGGACTGTGCTCTCCAGTATAACGTGTGTACGCATGTGTGTGTATGTGTGTGCATCTGTGTGTGTGTGCATGTGTATGTGTGTGTGTAAGGGAACAGGTGGGAGGACCACAATTTGTACTACTCTCTTTTGAGGTAATAGAAAAATGGATTTTATCCGGACTTTATCTTTGGCCCATGCCTTATTCCCAATGTGAATTACAACAACTTAAAAATACATGCACCCTACAGAAAGTGAAATGAAATATATTCATTTTCTTAAATGAAAGAAAGGGGGAGGGAGGAGAAAAGATATACCAGTGTATATGAATTAGGAAGAAAGATTAAATTAGAAGTCAGGGCAGTGCACAAAATGTATTCCAAGAAAGTCTATTTCTTGGTAAAAATATTTAAATATATGTTTCTGTAGTAAGTGAGAAAAGGAGGGAAAAAAGCTTTAAGTTACAAAATTCGCTGTGCCCATAGGATCAAACAGGCCTTAGGTAAGAGGTGCAAAGGCCACCCTAGTAACTCACACATGGTCCAGCCCAGCTCACTAGGGTGGGGGATTCACCCATGGGTTTGGAGCCAAAGTCACAGTAATGATCTCTCAGCTCTGATGAGTGTGACTGGGCTGTGTGCCAGTCACATGAGCGTCCCTCTGCTTGTTTCCCTTTCAAATTTGCAGTGGTGGCAAATTGCTGGCCAGAAAGTCAGATATGCGGGACCTCAAACAAACATCTTGTATGCAATCAGGTCTAAGAATATCCTCTTGTGAACATTGAGGGCTGTGCTCAGAGCTCATCCTGACTGGGAGACCATGCTATGCACGATTAGAGTGAGCCATGGGATTCAGCAAAGAAAGAATCCGGCTTCCTCATTGGGGATAGTTTTGTTCCACTCTTTTAATACACAAATTTTTGAGCTCTAAAATCCTAGATCATAAAGCAAAGCCATGATGATTTTATTCTGAAAAATGTTTAAAATAATCTTTTAAAAATCAGACTAAAACATCTCCTTAACTAAATATTATGAATCTCTGGTTTGTCTTGACCACAAAAGAAAACAAACAAACCAAAACAAGCAAAGAAACAACAACAACGAAAAAACATAAACTGAAAACAGTTCAAACTTTTACTCAATCTGTTGCAACAAAGCTAAAGGGCTGAAAAACAGGAAATGAAGAGCACCCTTTAAAACTGCTATTAAAACTTTTTAATTGAGGTAAGGCTCACATATCACATGATTCACAGTTTTTGCCATTTTAAAGCAGATAATTCATTGACATCTAGTCAATGAATCCACAGTGTTGTGCAACCTCATCTCTATCTGCCCCAAAACACGTTCAACACCCCAAAAGGATACCCCACACTCAGTAAGCAGTCCTGACCACCACTAACCTGGTTTCTGTCTCTATGGATTTGCCAGTTTGGGACATTTCATATAAAGGGAATCATGCAGTATGTGGCCTTTTGTGTCTAACTTCTCACTTAGCATAATGTTTTTAAGGTCTTTCCATATTGTAGTATGTAGTAGTGCTTCGCTTCTTTTTATAGTTGAATAATATTCCATTGTGTGGATATAACACATTTGTTTATTCGATCATCAGATAGCGGACATTTGAATTGTTTCTACCTTTTTGCTATTGTGAATAGTGCTACTATGAACATTCATGTACAAATTTTTGTTTGAATACCTGTTTTCAATTCTTTTGAATATTTACCCAGGAGTGGAAGCACTGGGTCATATGATAATTGTAAGTTCAACTTTTTTAAGAAACTGCCAAACTGTTCTCCACCACAGCTGAACCATTTTACATTCCCACCAGCGAAGAACCAGCAATGAACAAGGATTCCAATTTCTTCACAGCCTCACCAATACTTACTATTTCAGTTCTGTTGATTGTGGCTGGTCTTTCTCATGCTATTCTCATGGTAGTTAATAAGTCTCACAAGATCTGATGGGTTTATCAGGGGTTTCTGCTTTTACTTCTTCCTCATTTTTTGCTGCTGCCATGTAAGAAGTGCCTTTCGCCTCCTGCCATGATTCTGAGGCTTCCCCAGCCATGTGGAACTGTAGGTCCAATTAAACCTCTTTTTCTTCCCAGTCTCGGGTATGTCTTTATCAGCAGCATGAAAATGAACTAATACACCCCAAAAAGTCAATTTCACTATACGTTAATTTAAAGGGCACTTACCAATCAATAGGAAAATGGAGAACATGCAAACAGAAAAATGGAGAAGTAAAATAAATACAAAGGTAGAACTTGTTCTATAACATTTAGCATATGAAAAAATATTTAGTCTCAGCAACAAAGAAATACAAACTAAAATAATAAACTATATTAAGCTATTTAATTCACAAAGAAAATATTGACAGTGGATACTTTAATTATACTTATCAAAAGCCTTAGACTAGCTTGAACACCATAGCGCCATAGCAAGACCCTGTCTCTAAAAATAAAAATTTTTAAAATTAGCCTGCTGGGTGGCTATGGTGGATGGATTATGAGGTCAAGAGATCGAGACCATCCTGGCCAACATGGTGAAACCCTGTCTTTACTAAAAATACAAAAATTAGCTGGGTGTGGTGGCACATGCCTGTGGTCCCAGCTCCTCAAGAGGCTGAGGCATGAGAATGACTTGAACCCAGGAGGCAGAGATTGCAGTGACCTGAGATTGCGCCATTGCACTCCAGCCTGACGACAGAGCGAGACTTAGTTAAAAAAAAAAAATTAGCCGGGTGTGGTAGTGCACTTGCAGTCCCAGCTACTCAGGAGACTGAGAAGGGGGACTGCCTGACTCGGGAGTTCAAACTACAGTCAGCTGCGGTCATGCCACTGAGCTTGAGCCAGGGCTGCATAGCTAGACCCTGACTCAAAAATAATCTTAAAAAAAATTCATGCTCTGACTTTTAGTTAAAATGGCATCTGATCCCCCAGAAAGATCTTAACTCTAATACAACCTATGTGATAACACCAAGAAAGATAAACACTTGTAAAAATGTTTAAAATATAATCATCCAGTGAATTACTATATCCTGAGAGGACTTTTTCCTAATATCCAAATAATTCACAGAAACCCAAGGATATTACTAATCAAAGAACATAACACTTGTCCTTCTGCTTTGGACTTCTGCTTTTTGAGGCAGCTGAGACATTGCTCTGCAGACTGTATCCCATAAACAACTGGAGAAAGCAATTCTCAAGAGACTAAAAGAGCAGTCAAGAATAAGAGAAGAGGGGTGATACTATAACATGGTGCTTTTAATTATTCTGAGAAAGACCATACTACCAGAAGGTAGAAGAGGCAAGAGTTGGTCTTGGGTATTTCTTTTACTTTTTTTTTTTTTTTTTTTTGAGACAGACTCTCACTCTGTCACCCAGGCTAGAGTGCAGTGGCTAGATCTCAGCTCACTGCAAGCTCCGCCTCCCGAGTTCACGCCATTCTCCTGCCTCAGCCTCCTGAGTAGCTGGGACTACAGGCGCCCGCCACTGCACCCGGCTAATTTTTTGTATTTTTAGTAGAGACAGGGTTTCACCGTGTTGGCCAGGATGGTCTCGATCTCCTGACCTCGTGATCCACCCACCTCAGCCTCCCAAAGCGCTGGGATTACAGGCATGAGCTACCGCGCCCGGCTAAACAGGACGTTCTTATTGCTGAAATCTTTTTTAAAAAATCAGTAAGATGGTTGAAAGATAAAGTAAAAGAACTCTCTAAGAATATAGAATAATCGATTTTGAAAAATAATACAGGCCTTCTACTCCCAGACGTGAAGAAGTAACAGGACAGAATTACCCAGCTACCACAAGCAACTAGAAGACTGGAAAACAGTTTAAAAACATTGTTTTCAGATATGAAAAAAACAGCACAAAACTGTGATTACTGTGAGAAGGAAAAATAATGAGGTGATTCTTACAATCACCCAGATTTTCTGCCAGGAGGCAATATCCAGATTGTAGCACAAAGAGAGAATTTAAACAGACCTGGAAATCTTGCTCAGTGAAGGATGCGGAGATTAGAGGGAAAAATAAGCTACACAGGAAAATGGTTCCAGAAATCAGTCTTTGAGTCCTTGGCTAAACACCAATCCGTATGTGAGTAGTGTGAAACCCTGTAAGACTGAGAAAAAAACAATCTCCAAAGAAAGAAAAAATGCTGGAGTGCTATAAAACAAACAATTCCCAGAACTCCTACGGGGCCAGGATTCATTTTAGCACTCTTTGGCCAGAGTGAAGAAACATTACTGAATATACAAAGCACTCCATATGAGTTGCAAAGATGCTATGTCTTAGAAGTTGAGCAAAATTAGTAGCCCTAGAAAAAGACTACCATAGACCTACCCTAAATTTGCTTTTAAAAAAATCAAAAGCATCAAACTAATTTACAAGTAACTGTCAGAAAAAGTCTAAAATGCTTCAATAGAAAACAACAAAACCAAGTATTAAATAACTTAAGATTTCTAATTTACAACATTCAGTAAAAAATTACTAGACCTTAAAAAATCAGGAAAATAAGATTCATAACCTGGAACAGATTGGTCAACAAACACAGGCCTAGAAACAGAAGAAACTAAACAAGACTTGTAAAGATGAAAAATAAAATACGTAAAATTTAAATTTCACTAGATGGAATTAACAATAGTTTAGGCACTGTAAAATAAAATAATAGTAAGCTTGACCTCCTGAATGTATAAGCATCTAACAGCAGAGCTTCAAAATATATGCAGCAAAAAAAGGACAAAAATTTAAAAAGGTATCAGGCCAGGCCCCATGGCTCATGCCTGTGATCCCAGCACTTTCGGAGGCCAAAGCAGGTGTATCTCTTGAGCTTAAGAGTTCGAAACCAGCCTGGGCAACATAGTGAGACACTGCCTCTACAAAATATTAAAAAATTAGCCCAGCATGGTGGTGCGTGCCTGTGGTCCCAGCTACTCCAAAGGCTGAGGTGGGAGGATTGCTTGAGCCTGGGGGGCAGAGGTTGCAGTGAGCTGTGATTGTGCCACGCACCATAGCCTACATGTCAGAGCCAGATTCTGTCTAAAATTAAAAATAAAAAAATACACAATTCGAGTAGAATAATTCAACACTTGCCTCTCAGTAAATGAACAAGTAGACAGAAAATCCGTAAGGATACAGAGGATATAGAAGACTTGAACAATGCTATCAACCAACAGGACCTAGCTGACATTTATAGAACACTCCATCCAACGTCAGCAGAATACACATCCATTTCAAGTGCACATGGAGCATTCATCAGGACTGATAATCCAGTGGGCCATGAAGCAAATCTCAAGAAATTTTAAAAGACTGAAATCATGCAGACTATGTCCTCTAATCACAATAGAATTAAATTTGAAATTAATGCCAGAAAGATAACTGGAAGATCTCACAAATATTTAGATATTAAACACTACTTGTTTGGTTAACCCATTGGCCAAAGCAAAAATGAAAAGGGAAATTGGAAAATCTTTTGAACTAAATAAAAATTAAAACACAATACTGTCTGTCAAAATTTGTGGTATGTCTTTTCAACAAACAGTGCTAAAACATTTGTATATTCATAAAGGGGGAAAATGAACCTCAATCCTTACCTCACTTCATATACAAAATTAACATGAAATGGATAAGAAACCTAAATGTAAGAGGTAAAACCATAAAGCTTCTAGAAAAACAAGAAAATCTTTGTGATCTTAGGATGGCAAAGATTTCTTGAGGTACACATAAAATCATGAACCATAAATGAAAAAAATTGTATACAATCCCATAAAGTATATTTCAATATATGGATGATTGTACTATATATTACCGACCTAATATTAACATTGATTACTTCTGGTAAAATATATAATGGAGAGAAGAATGAAGAAGGATGGAGGCATTTTATTTTCCTTAAATTTTTGTGTACTGTTTATAATTTTTTAAAATAAGATTCTACTACTTTCATAAAAATAAGAATAAACTTTTAAAATATATGTTCTATAGAATGTGCTGGCTGACACTTCTTTCAGAATGAGATCTCAGCACAAAGGAATACAAGCCCTGGGAACAGATAAGGTGGGGGCCAATAAGGGAAATGATTTTCTGAGGATTCCCACCCCTGTTTCCCTCACAAATTATAGTTCTTTGGCTTCCTCCACCACCTAGATGAGAGGATGAATTTTAAGAAGCCACTACTCAGTGTGATGTTCAGTCAGTCAGTTAGTCCCCCAACTCTAGATATCAGGCTCAGTTTAGAAACTAGAAAAACATACAATAAAAAGAGAAAACGCCCTCTCTACCTTTCAGTTAGTTAGAAGTGAGAAAAGAGAAGCAAAGGAGTCTGACTTGGTAGAGATTTTTTTCCAGCTCTAGCTCCTGGCTGCAGAAAAAGTAGAAAGTCCAGGTGTGTGAGATTCATACCCTTACTAAAACTATGGGGTGGGTGTTTCCCTTTTGCAGATAAAACTAAAAGAGGAAAACTGATTTGGTGAACTGGACCTCCAGGCCACTGGACATTGCCAAGCACTCTTCAACCTGGTTTCCCACAAAGTCTGGTGTCAGTCCAAGGCCTCCCACTGGACCCCCTGGAATGACGTCCCAAACACTAAGCCTTTGTTGACATCCTCCTCCCCACCCATAAGTTAAACCTGTCCTGTGCTACCCTCACTAGCCACTGTGACACATTCCCCATGCCCATGAGTGATCACCCAGTGGGATGTCGCAGGAAGAAAATGGGTCTTGTGATCCTCAGATTCCAGATCAGTTCCAGTCCTGCCCCTAACTAGCCAATAACCCTGAGTCAATCACCCTTGCTCTCTGAGCCTCAGTTTCCTCATTTCTTGAGGACCTTCCATAAGGTCCCTCTCTTAATGCATGGGGATTACAATTTGAGACGAAATTTGGGTGAAGACACAGAGCCAAACCACATCATATGGTAAAGGAAGTAGGTACAAATGTAAAGAGGTAGCATGAAAGAGTTCTTTTATGTTGATGGAATAGTTCTGTATCTTGATTATAATTACACAAATCTCTAACTAGGATAAAATTGAATAGAACTACACACACAAACACACAAATGTAAGTTTTTAAAATAGTAAAAATTGAATAAGTTCTGTAGACTAACAGTAATGTAGCAATGTCAGTTTTCTAGTTTTGTTATCATACTACAGCTATATAAAATGTCACCACTGGGGGAAGCTGGATGAAGATTTATGCTATTTTTACAACTTCATGTGAGTCTATCGTTATTTCAAAATAAAAGAGTTTTTAAAACTAACATTAGAATTCAGAAAAAATAAAATAAAAAACACTGGGAGTAGGGAATTGCTTTGCTGCTTATATCACAAATAAAGAGCTAATTCCTCTAAGATATAAAGAGTTCCTCAAAACCAATAAGAAAAAGGCCAAAAGCCAAACCCAAAAAAGATAGACTGTCCACAGTAAATAAACATAAATGGCTCTAAACATATAAAATAATTATAAACACTCACTCATAGTAAGAGTCATGCAAATGACAGCTAATGTTTTTTAACCTAACAGGTTGGCAAAAACAGAAAGTGTGAAAAAAGTTCTCTAATAAATTGCTGGTGGGAAAGTAAATTGATGCAAACCAATAAAGGGTGATATCTGTCAGAATTAGAAATGCACATTCCATTCAACTCAGTAATTCCATTTCATGAGACTTTTCCCATAGTTAGTTTGCACATGTGGAAAATTACATATGCAGAAGATTATTCATTATAGCATTATTATAACAACAAAAAACAGGAAGTAACCTAAATGACCACAAACACATGGCTAGTTAAAGAAATTGTGGCACATCAGTGCAAAAAATTTTACAAGTGAGGAAATACTATGCATATCCACTTACATAGCTCTCCAAGATATGTTATAAGGTGAAAAGAGCAAGGGGCAGGACAATGTGTGTATTCTGCAACCATTGTATGGAAAGATGGAGACATTATAAGTTATTTGATTGGTAGCTAGTTAGGTACTAGTATAGAATATACCAGTGCATAAGTTAGTTGACTGGTTCATTAGGTATTAGTGGCTTTCTGATAGAATAAAATATCTCTACAAGGATAGACATAAAACTGGTAAGAATGCCTCAGGACGGAACAGATAAGAGGGAGATTTTCTATACATACTCTTCAATAGGTTTTGAATTTTCAGCCATGAAAATATATTAGGTATTTTTAAAAATAAATGCTTAAATTAAAAATGTAGAGCCAGGTGCCCAAAGATTATTGTTCATGAGTGTTCATCCACTCATCAGTACATCCCCTAATCAAAGTCTTCACTCTTAGAGGAAATTACAATTTCTCCCTATCAGGGATTCAGCTGCAAGCTTGTCTCTGAAATTTGCACATTGATGCCCTTTAGCAAAAACGTTTAAGCTATCTTAGAGGCACTCATCTCTAAATAAAATGTTTTCCAAAAGTATTTCTAAAATCATTTGCATAGTAATTGGAGCAAGTTATTTTTAAAACAGTATTTAAACGTAAAATTTTGAACAGGGTGGTTCTTTTTAAAACAATATTTAAGTAGTTTTTAGATACAAACTAATGAATTTTTTTTAAGACGGTCTCACTCTGTTGCCCAGGCTGGAGTACAGTGATCACAGCTCACCGCAGCCTCTATCTCCTGAGCTCAAGTGATCCTCCCACCTCAGACTCACGAGTAGCTGGGACCACAGGTGCACACCACCACACCTGGCTGATTTTTTTGAATTTTTAGTGGAGAGGAGGTCTCGCTATCTTGCCCAGGCTGCTCTTGAACTCCTGAGCTCGAGCAGTCTGCCTGACTCAGCTTCCCAAAGTGTTGGGATTACGGACGTCACCACTCCCAGTCCAGTGAAATTCCTGAGTCTGTTTTTCAGATTGAAAAGTACATGTTTATTCAATGCAGATGTGACTCTGTGACATATGCTTGAGGAAGACAAGAAAGTCACAATGTGTCTTTTTCTAAAGGAATGATAAACAAGAAAAAAGTCTGGCTACTACTCAGACTTCAGAGAAGAGAAAATTGAAGTCAGAAATGTTAATGAGAAAAGAAACTGGGTGGTGTAAAGAAACCTTCCAGTAAACTTAATAAAATTAAAACCAGATTATCCAAGTTTGTGTGGAGACAAAGTATCTTCATGCAGTAAAGGGCAATCAGAACTCACAGCCCAGGCCACTGCCTGCCACAACTGCCTGTCCCTTGGGGCTCTCGTAGTAACCATGACATTTGTCCTCAAGAAGGCTGTCGCTTCACTATCCACATCTCAGTTCAGCCATAGAGGCAAATATTTGCTCTTAACTTTCTGAAAGGCAGTGGAGATGCGATGGCACAGTTAATCAACACTTTTAATCGAAGCCTTCCAGATAACAAAGGGGTACAAACGTAAGGAGTAGCACGACATCATATTAACATATTCTGAACTTCTGGGCAATACTGGCTCTCTGGGATCCATGGGACTGCATCTTTATAACATTCCAAAGAAGGGAAGCATGCTCAGAGAGTTCCCAGATTTCCTTGTCTCCTCCGCTTCCCAGAGGAGGAGCCCCATAACAGTACCCAGTATTCATCTACCTATGAAAACACCTCCATGTCAGTGGGCCACAGCTCTGCCATCCTCACCTTTCTTTTCCGGGGGTCTAGATAAGGAAACCATGCCATCTAGGCCACCCAGAAGCCCCTTGCCAACAACAGGAGCTGCGAGAACACGCTTCGAAGCTTGAGGTTGCTGAAGATGAGGATGAAGGGATGGACAGATATGCACAGGTAGACTGCAATTTGCCATGGCCAGTAAAAGTCGTTCTGCATGGAGATAAATTTTGCGGCATCAATGATCAGGGACAGAAAGGACAGAGCATAAAGAATGAGGAAGGAGATGAGGGACTTCAGAGCTCTGGTGTGAGCCTGGGTGCTGGGGTCCTGCAGGCTGTGCCCGTTGTGCTGCATTCTCTGAGTATGCCTCCTCAGAGAATTAATTAACAGCATAATTGAGACCAGAAAAACAGAAAAAGGAATTGACCAGATGACCAGTTTCAGGGATGGGAAATAGTATGTTTCTATCCTTGTATTCCACTTGTAGGTCATGTTCCCAGAAAATTTTCTAATTAAAAATTCTTGATATACAGGGTAGTTCACCCAAAAAAACAGCAGGGTTATGATGAAGGAGATCAGGACAGAGCCCAACAGGAGCCAGGGCACCCACCCTGGGAACCTCCACTTCAGCCACAGGAAGGTGGAGTGTGTGATGTTAGCAATCTTCACACAGAACAGGACACTGAGCCAGCTGCAAAACCAGAAGGTGGCTGAGTTCAGGAAGTGCCAGTGTAGATGGAAGAACTGTCGGCCGAGACCCCCAGAGTACTCGACCTTCTGGGCAGAGTAGTAGAAGTTGTGCACCGTCCCAACCAACTGCAGGCAGAAGCGGGAGGCACCCAAGCTAATGAGGATCATATCCAAGGGCAGCAACCTGCCATATCGCAGCCACTCCCTGCCCAGCACCAGCACAATGAAGCCATTCGCTGCAATCCCCAGAAGACTCAGCAGGCTAAAGAGCAACACGAAGAAGGCCGTCAGTGCTGCTTGCATTCTGACCCCTCCTGCAGTCCCCACTTGAGTGCCTTGGTCCCTGGCCTCCTCCCTGCCCCTAGCCACAGTCCTGTTTTTAATCTTTCCTAGGAGTGCTAAAGAGTGGTCAGGCTCTGCATCTGAACCAGAGCTCACTTAGAGAGGAGGATGCTCAGGCTAAAGAGGAGAGGTGTGCTCTTGGCTCAGACAGGATGCAAATTTATCCTAGTGTCAGTTACCACTAGGCCTGCAAATTACCCTAATTTGCCTTGTCCAGTTTTCCTGCATGCTGCCATGGTTAGTATCAATGTCTATGATTTTTCTGGGTCTCTGTGACTGAGTTCCATCCTCAGGCCGTATGAACACTCCTCTTCCCATCAGAACATTCTTAAGACTTTAAATATAGAGACAAGTATAGGAGATACACAGGAAAAATAGTGACATCAAAGAATTCTGTCTCAGTACTTCCCTGTTACACATCCATGCTTACCTTACTGCCTTTGCCCACAAATCGCTTCAAAATCAAACACTTCGTCTACCTCTCCATCCAGATCTCTACTTAGATCCTCCATGAATCCTGAGATGTAAATGATAATGGTGTAAACGGGTTTTGTATTTCCAGTGAGAGAATTCATTATCATGTGGTTGAGGGGCCTTCCGAAGCAGGACTGAGAGCCCCTGTTTCTTCCTGGGTGTTGGTGGGAGACTGCTCTCTGGTCCTAGAGGCCTCTCACAGTCTCTGCCAGGTAAGCTGTTTCAGCATGGCCACTCACGTCAAGTCAGCAGTCTCTAAAGGGAGTCTGCTAACAAGATGGGGTCTTAAATAACATAACACAATCATTGGAGTGACAGCCTATCACCTTTGCCATAGTCTATTGGCTAGAAGCAAGTCACTGTCACCAACAACACTCAAAAGAAGGAGGTTACACAAAGGCCCAACACCAGGGTTGAGGGACAGGCAGGGCCACTTTACAGTCTGTCTGCCACCCTGAGATACCCGAGGCATATGTGAGTCCTGTCTAACACCAACATCAAAAAGAAGTCCCTATGAGACCATGTTGAAAGTAAAAATATTTTCTTTTAAAATATATCTATCACCTCACATAATTCCTGTTTTCAATTTCTTCATGTGTAGTGAGAACACTTAAGATCTACCCTCTCATGAAAGTTCAAGTATACAGTGCAGTATTGTTTACTATACTCATACTACCATACCTTAGGTTTCCAAAGCATGTTCACTTAGCATAACTGAAACTTCATACCCCTTGACCAATATCTCCCCATTTCCCCTTCCAGAACCCTGGCAACCACCAATCTACTCTCTACTTCTGTGGGTTTGTTTTTTCAGATTCCACATGTAAGTGAGATCGTACAATATATGTATTTCTGTCTCTGGAGCATTTCACATAGCATAATGTCCTCCAGTTCCATCTACGTTGTTGCAAATGGCAGAATCGCCTTTTCTAAGACTGAATCATATTCCATTGTGTATGCACACCACATTTTCTTTGTTCATTCATCTGTTAATGGGCTTTTAGATTGTTTCCATGTCTTGGCTATTGTGAATAATTTTCAATGAACATGGGAGTGCAGATATCTCTTCAAAATACTAGTTTCATTTCCTTTGCATATACACCTAAAAGTGGAATTACTGGATAAGGTAGGTCTGTTTTTAATTTTCTGAGAAATCTTTATAGTGTTTTCCATAATTTATATTCCTGTCAACAGACTGAAAGAGCTGCTTTTCTCTGTATTTTTGCCAACACTTGTTATCCTTCATCTTTTTGGTAACAGCCATTCTAACACATGTAAGATGATACCTCATTGTGGTTTTGATTTGCATTTCTCAGGTGATTTGTGATATTAAACATATTTTCATGAACGATTTTTGTCTTCTTTTGAGAGATGTTATTCAGGTCCTTTGCCCATTTTAAAATCAGGTTATTTATGTTTTTTGTTTATTTCTGCACTACAGTTGAATAAGTTCCTTGTATTTTTATTATTTGTATTTATTTATTTCAGACGGGGTCTCACTCTGCCACCCAGGCTGGAGCGCAGTGGCACCATTACAGCTCACTGGAGCCTCAAGGTAGGAAGGATGATCCAATCTTCCCCACCTCAGCCTTCCAGGTATCTGGGACTAAAGGCATGCACTGCCACACCCGGTTAATTTTTTTTATTTTTTGTACAGACAGAGTCTCACTATGTTGCTCAGGCTAGTCTCAAACTACTGGGCTCATGCAATCTTTCTGCCTTGGCCTCCCAAAATGTCAAGATTACAGGCGTGAGCCAGGGCACCCAGCCAAAGTTCCTTATATATTTTGGAAATTAACACCTATTAGATATGTTGTTTACAAATATTTTCTCCCAATTTCCATTCTGCTGGTTGTTTTCTTGGCTTTGCAGCTTTTTATTTTGATGCAATCCCATTTGTCTATGTTTATTTAGCTGAATTTTTGCCTGTGCTTTAGGTGTAGTTTTCTATAAGTCATTACCCAAACCAGTGTCAAGAAGCTCTTTTCCTATGTGTCCTTCTAAGAGTTTTATGATTTCAGGTCTTGCATTTAAATATTTAATCTATTTTGATTTAACTTTGCATGTAGTGTAAGAAGAGGATGAAATTTCATTCTTCTGCATGTGGATACCCAGTTTTCCCAACCTCATTTATTGAGGAGACTATCTTTTCCCCATTGTGTATTCTTGGCACTTTGTCAAAAATCAATTGACCACAGAAGTGTAGTTTTATACACGGGCTTTCAATCCTACTCCATTGGTCAATGTGTCTGTTTTTTTGCCAGAACCATGCTGTTTTGATTGCTATCATTTTGTAATATATTTTGAAATACAGTAGTGTGATACATACAGCTGTGTTCTTTTTGGTCAAGATGGCTTTAGTTATTCAGGGTCCTTTGTGATTCCACATGAATTTTAGGATTTTCTTTCTATTTCTGTGAAGAGTGACATTGGAATTTTTATAGAAGTTACATGAAATCTGTAGATTTGGATAATTTGGATATTTTGACAATATTTATTTTTCCATTCCATGAACATAAGATATCTTTCCATTTATTTGTGTCCTCTTCAATTTCTTTCATCAGTGTTTTATGTTTTATGCTCTTTTCCTACTTCCTTGAGGTGTAAAATTAGGTTGTTTATTTGAGATCTTTCTTCTTTTAATGTATTTATCACTACAAATTTCCCTCTAGTACTGCATTCCTATAAGTGCTGGTATGTAGTGTTTTTGTTTTCATTTGTCTTGAAATCCTTCTCAAATTACCTTTTGATTCTTTGATTCAATGATTATTCAAAATGTGTTTAGTTTCCATGTATTTCTGAATGTTTTTGTTGTCTTACTGTTAATGACTTCTAGTTTAATTTTTGTGGTCAGACCAGATAGTTGGAATAATTTCAATCTCCTTAAATGTGTTAAGGCTTATTTTGTGACCTAGGACGGGATCTATCCTGGAGAATGTTGCATGTGCCCTTGAGAAGAATGGGTGTTCTGCTGCTATTGGGTGAAAAGGTCCACTTAGTCTGCAGTGTTGTTCGGGTAAACTGCTTATTCATTTTTGTCTGAATGTTCTATTCATTATGTTAAGTCAGTTATTGAAGTCTCCTACTATTATTATATTGCTGTCAATATTGTCTGAACTGTCAATATTTGTTTTGTATATTTATATATTCTCAAGTTGGGCACATATATTTTTATCATTGTCTTATCTTCCTGTTGAGTTGGCCCTTTTATTATTATGTAATGACTTATTTGTCTCTAGAGACAGTTTTTTAGTTAAATTCTATTTTGTTGGGTATAACTACTCCTGATTTCTTTTGTTTACTATTTGCATGAAAATCTTTTCTATCCCTTCAGTTTCATCTTACGTGTGTCTTAAAGTGATCTCTTACAGACAGCATATCTCTGGATCTTGTTGTTTTTAATTTATTTGCCACTCTTTGCCTTTCGATTGGGTAGTTTAATCCATTTTTATTTAAAGTAATTATTGGTAGCTGAGGACCCTTTTGCAATAATATCAAATATAGCAATAATTGTTATTTGTTTTGCAGTTGTTTTGTTCCTCTCTTCCTCTTTTGCTGTCTTGCTTTGTCATTTGATGATTTTTGTAGTGATTTCCTTTAACTCTTCAATTTTTATGTTCCCTTTATATTTGTGTATCTTTTATAGGTTTTTTTCTTTGTGGGTAACTCGAGGTTTACATAAAATACCTTGTAGATATAATTGTCTATTTTATGTTAACAACTTAACTTCAATTGCATATTAAAATTCTACATTTTTACTTTCCCCCACCCACACTTTGTGCTTTTGTAGTCAGTTTGCTTCTTTTTATATTGTGTATCCATTATCAAATTTTTATCTTTTAACTATTATATTAGAATTAAAAGTAATTTCTATACCATTATTACAGTGTTACATTATTCTGTATTTGTCTACATATTTGCCCTTAGTGGTGGTATCTATGCTTTCATATATTTTTTCATTGCTGTGTAGCAGGTTTTTATTTCAATTTGAAGAACTCCTTTAAGCATTTATTGTAAGGCAGATCTGGTGGTGATGAACCTTCGCAGTTTGTATTTGTCTGAGAAAGACTTTACCTCTTCTGCATTTAAAAAAAACAAAATAGTCTTGTGGGATGTAGTACTCTTAGTTGGAATTTTTCTCCAATATATGGAACATATCATCCAACTCTCTTCTGGCTTGCAAGACCTTTGCTAAGAAAATTGTTGATAGTTTTATGGGTGTACTGTTAAGTATGATAGCTTTTCTCTTGCTTCTTTCAAAATTCTCTTTGTCCTTGACTTTTAACAATTTGATTATAATTTGTCTTCATGTAGTCTTCTCTGGGTGGAAATTTTTTAGTGTTCTTCAAGTTTTGTGAATCCAGATGTCTATTTCCCTCCCAAGATTTGGGGTGTTTTCAGCCATTATTTACTTAAATATGTTTTCTGTCACCTCTCTCTTTCTCTCTATTTTCCTACCAAGACTACCATTGTGTATATATTTGTTTACCTGATGGTGTTCCATAAATCTCATAGGTTTTCTTTACTCTTTTTCATTCCTTTTTTCTATTTTCTTCTATGATTGGATAATTTCAAATGATCTGTCTTCCAGTTTGCAGATTTCTGCTTGATTAAGTGTTGGGGAAACCAGCCCCACACTACCCAGCGGGTACTCCGAGTCCGGCAGAGACAAAGGAGTTAGAAAGAGACAGAATAAGCGTTTTAAAGGTGGGTCCAGGGGACTGGAGCGTTGGAGGCTTGCTCACGGCCCAGAGCTCTCGGGCTCCACCCAATTTATTGGTTTACAAGCTCTTTGTTCTTAGGGTAGATGGGAGGGGGAGGAAGGGATGAGGAAAAGGATGAATCAGTGAAGGAGAACTTGTGAGTCATTCGATAAGATGTATAGCAGTGGCGGCTTCTGTGAATTTCCTTGAGCAAAGGTGTGTGTCTAAACTACTTAAGATCTTTAACTTATCAGGACTGAAACTGGTGGGAGCAGGTTTCAGGAGGAGCCAAGCTGTTTGATTATACTCCACTGCTTCAAGGGAGTGTTATCTCCCTGAGCAACCTGTGGAATGCCGCTGAGCGTTATGCTCTCGGGGCATAAAGACATGAAGGCAATAAGGAGACTTTTCTCGGGCAGCCCATGGGTGTCTCACACAGGGGAGACCAATTCAACTGGCACCCCAGAAACTCTCTTTCCCACAATTACGTCTGCTGTTGAGGCTGTCCATTGCATTTTTCATTTCATTAATTATATTCTTCAGCTCTAGAATTCTTGTATGGTTCTTTTTTATGATTCCTGGATCTTTTTTGAACTTGTTTATGTGTTATTTTCCTGATATTGTTGCATTGTCTGTGTTATCTTGTGGCTCACTGAGCTTCTTTCAAATAATTATTTTGAATTCTCTGTCAGGTAGGTTGTATATATCCAATTATTTGAGGTTGGTTACTGGAAATTTATTGTGTTTCTTTTGTGATGTCATGTTTCCTTGGTTTTTTATGTTCCTTTTAGCCTCAGGTTGATGACTGCACACTTGAAGGAGCAGTAACCTTTTCTAAACTCTAAAAACTGGCTTTGGTGGAGAAAGAACTTTATATATGGGTGGGTTTGAGGGTGCTGGCAGGGTGGCATGCAGCGGCTCCCACATTGGGGTAGAAGAAATGGTAGCTCCAACTTCAAGGTAGTATGGTAAATTTGGGCCCAGTGTGAGAGAGGAGTATCACATGGTATGGACTCCGGATAGCTCCATCAGCTGGAATCATCATTGGCAAAAACTGCAACGGTCCTTAGTGGGAAAAGCTGCAGGTGTCTGTGGTTACAACAAAGGCTGCTGGAGTCCTCAGTGTTGAAGGTTGTTGAGATCCTCCTTCCCTCCTTTACCCCAATGGGGAAAGATTGCAGCTAAATGTATCCCTTTTGGCACTGAGCCGTGCCAAACAGTGGGAAGGACTGACAAGGTAAAATGATTCCTGTGCTTTTCTATGTAGCCATCCTAGTCTTTTATGCTCCATTGGGTTGCTGCATTTTCTTCATAGTATTCCAGAGCCCTCCTATTTTCATCAGTGGATAGTTGTTAAATTGTCGTTTCATGGGGAGACAAAAGTTGGGACTCCCGGTTGACCATCTTGCTCTAAAAATATTTTCTTGAATAAAAATACATTCAAGTTGATCCATATTTAAATGTTTTCTATTTAATACTTCAAATATATTCTTTCTCCATATTTGTTTAAAACTATTTTAAGGTTAGTGTATCCTTTTGAACTGTGCCTTTGTTATAAGAGTCAACTGAGAAAACTAGTCATACAAATAATGTGAAAGTTGTTACTACCACAGCAGAAACGTATAGTCGTATTAAAATTAATAATACATAGTAAAAATAAAAAAGAGAGATCTCATTGACGTTGAGTGTATATGCATTTTTCTCACTTCAGGTGTATGTTTCTTTTACTGTTTTCATTCATTCACTCATTCATTCATTCATAAAATATTTATTGAGCATTTATATTTGCTGGACTCTATTCTAGTTACTAGGCAGACAGGATCCCAGCTTTCATGGAACTTGCAGTCCGATAGAAGGTAAGTGACAATAAGCAACAACAAAAGCAAGATACTTTCAGATAATAATCAATTCTATGAAGACAATAGAAGGGTTAGATTTCTGGAGACTGGCTGGAGAAGAAAATGTTGCCCCCATACACCTGAGGGCTGAAAGCAGCTTTCTCAGGAGGTGACATGTGGGTTGAGGAGCCCAAGCAATTAGATCCTTTGCCTTGTATGTATTTCCCTGAAAATATTATCAAATCATAATTTTATTCATTCTCTTCCACCATTCCTTCAAACTTTATTCACAGGGGAAACTGCTCAGGCTAAAGAATAAGAATTCCAGCAGGATGGGTGACCTTTTTTCACTCTTATCAAGTAGATTGTTACAAGATTACTTCAAGCCACAAGATCACTTCAAGTAACAAAACAGCCTCAAATCAGAAATTAGAGATTCCGGTCCAGTTTATGAATACAAAATAACAAGATAACAGTAGCTTCAACCACTCTGAGATTGGCTGATGCATAAGGAGATTGGAAAAGGGGCAGGAAAGGTCTCACTTGGACTAGTACAAAAAGAATCTGGCTTTGTGCTTTCTGGGCCTGGTAATTATTTAGTGCTGACTTTCTCCCTCATGTGAAATTTTCACAGCTCTGGATGTTTCCTACTGGGCACTCTCTCCTGCAGTTCTATTCATTAGAGAGAAAGCATCTCTATTTGGGGTGATCCTTTGTGACTCCTTTCTCAGCCCCTAGGCATATGCCACAAAATTTTGGCTGCTGGAGCTTTCACAGTTCACTGGGCGTTTCTATCAGTCAAGTCTCAAGACAGCCTCACACACATGCTGTCTCCCTGCCTTTGTCTATTTGTGCTTCTATGACAAAATATCTGAGACTGGGTAATTTATAAGGAACAGAAATGTATTTTTCTCACAGTTCTGGAGGCTGGGGAATCCAAGATTATGGTGCCAACAGATTTGGCTTCTGTTGAGGGCTACTCTCTGCTTCAAAGATGATGCTCTTTGCTGCAGACTTACATTGTAGAAGGCAGAAGGGCAAAAAGGGTTCTATCTAGTTTTCTCCAGCCCTTTTATACATGATTAATGTCACCTAACAAGGTGGAGCCCTTGTGACCTAATCAACTCCTAAATGCCCCATCTCTTAGTACTATCACATTGATGATTAAGTTTCAGTACATGAATTTGGGTGGATACTCAGATCATAGCACCCTCTGATGGCCCACAGCTGGTCTCCTAGCCTTGCTCCAACAGTCCTGATGTAGCCACATTCTTTTGCCTCTTCCCAAAAGTTAGCTAGTCAGTCTGCCTTTCATCCTCTACATCTGCCAGGAAGAAGCAAGACCCCAGTTTACTATGCCTCTCAACTAAAGAAATAGCATGGTGAGCTTTGTGAGTGGCCTCATGGAAGCTCCTGAGGTGAGGGTAAAGAAATTTCTCATCCTTCTCAATGGAATATCAGATGGGACTCACAGCATGAATTTTTCTAAATATTTACTCTCATAAAATTCTCTTTCCTCAACTGTCTAAACTCTTTCATTTTATCAAAGAGTTTCAAAAGTTATATAACAGGTTTATGTCCATTTCCTTTGAAAATCTGAATATAGTGAACTGGCAGCTCACTTGGAAATCTCGTATCATTAAATAGCTGTACCTAGTTAAAAAAAATCTCAACTTTTACCACCTGTTACTTAAAGGGAAAGATCAACAAAGTCATGTTGGTCATGGTAAGAAATTTGGATATTCTGAGCTGGGCATGGTGGCTCACGCCTGTAATCCCAGCACTTTGGGAGGCCAAGGCAGGTGGATCACGAGGTCAGGAGTTCAAAACTAGCCTGGCCAAGATGGTGAAACCCCATCTCTACTAAAAATAAAAAAAATTAAAAAAAAATAAAAAAAAAATTAGCCGGGCGTGGTGGCGGGCCCAGCTACTCGGGAGGCTGAAGCAGAGAATTAATTGCTTGAACCTGGGAGGTGGAGGTTGCAGTGAGCCGAGATCGCACTGCTGCACTCTGGCATGGGTGACAGAGTAACACTCTGTCTCAAAAAAAAGAAAAAAAAAAGAAAGAAACTTGGATATTATTCTAGTGTAATGGAAAGTACTGGAGGGTTTTTTGTTGTTGTTTTTGGGGTGTTTTGTTTAGTTTTATTTTGTTTGAAACAGAGTTTCACACTGTCACCCGGGCTGGAGTGTAATGGCATGATCTCGGCTCACTGCAACCTCCACCTCCCAGGTTCACGCAATTCTCCTGCCTCAGCCTCCCAAGTAGCTGGGATTACAGGTACACACCACCACACCCGGCTAATTTTTTTGTATTTTTAGTAGAGATGGGGTTTCACTATGTTGGCCAGACTGGTCTCGAACTCCTGACTTCATGATCCGCTCACCTCAGTCTCCCAAAGTGCTGGGATTACACGCATGAGCCACTACAAGGGAGTAACAGGATCTAATTTATGGTTTTAAACAGATCTTCTATTGTCTATATAGAGAATAGAACCGGGGAGAGGTAAAGGTGAAAGAGAACAGTAGAGTCTCCTGCATTAGACCATGTACAAGTAGATGGTAGCTTGTCCTCAGGTGGAAACACTAGAGGTTGTAAAAAGTGATAAGATGCTGACATATTTTGAAAGTGAATTCAATAGAATTTGCATGATAAAGAGAGGTGAGAGAAAGAGGAATCAAGGACAGATTCTACCTTTTTAATTTCAGTAAACTGAAGAATTTTATGGAGCCATTTACTGAGGTGAGGAAGACTGAGAGAGGAATATATTGATAGGGGGAAATCTGTTTTGGTCATATTAAGTTTGAGATGTCTATCAGATTTCTAAGTTGAGACATGAAGTAGACAACTGAAATGTAAATCTGGATTCCGGTGAAGAGTTAAAGCTGGAGGAACAGGTTTGGGAGTCATCTATACTTACATGGTATTTAAAGCCATTAAACTAGATGAGATCATCTAGGGAAAGAATATAGATGGAGACTGCAAAAAGGCTGAGAGCAAGTCTTGCACCTTCAACTTTTGGGGGGGTTGAAAGCCAAGAGACCCTCCCTGCAAAGGAGATTTGGCTGAGACTGATATTAGAGAGTAATTCCATTCCCTGAGCTCATACTCAGGGACAAGGGGAAGAGGAAATAAAAAGGTAAGCATGGAAACACTGGAATGAAAAACACACTGAAAAAATTCTATATCTCCAGGATGATCTGCACCCAGGAGTTGTGTGCTATGCTCACTGGGGAAATTAGACACCATTAACATGTTCTAATGTTTGAGAGATCCTTGGGTTGCAACCCAAATTTAGCACAGTAGCATATCAGCATTAAGATTGGCATCTTTCCTATGCTTACTTCTCCTTGCCTCAGCAAAGAAGGCCTATTCATCACCCATTCATTCAACAAAACCCACTTACCATATATAACACTATCTGACAGACATTAGACCAAGCACATAGGTACAAAGATTAAAATAGTTCTTGAGGAAGAAAGACAAGTAGACATATAATGACAACTTAGTGTAATAAATGATAAAATAATAACTAATATATACGCAGTGTTGCTATGCATCCTCATGTGTTATTCTAAGTGCTTTAAATGTGTTAATATTGTTATTCTCACAAAAAAAATGAATTTCAAAGGTGATTCTGGGACAATTAGATATCCACATACAAAATAATGAAGTTGTTTCCTCACAACATACATAAAAATTACAGTGGATCATAAATCTAAATGTAAGAGCTAAAATTCTAAAACTCTTAGAATAAATCTTAGTAATAAATCTTCATAATCTTGGATTAGACAAAGCCTTCCTAGATATGATACCAAAAGTACAAGTTACTAAAGGAAAAAAATAGACAAATTGGACTTCATAAAAATTAAAAATGTGCATCCAAGGGCACTATTAATAAAGTGAAAACCACATCGTGAGAGAAAATATTTACAAATTACATATCTGATAAGGAATTTGCATCCAAAAATATAAAGAACACTTACAATTCAAAACAAAAAGGACAGTAACCCAATTAAGAAATAGGCAAAGGATTTGAATAGACATTTCTCCAAAGATGCTATAGAAAACACCCAATAAGCACCTGAAAAAATGTTCCACATTATTTATCATTAGGAAAATGCAAATAAAAACCACAAGATACCATTTCACACCCACTATCATAGTTAAAACCAAAAAGACAGATACTTACAAGAGTTGGCAAGGATGGGAGAAATCAGATCCCTAACAGACTGTTGGTGGGATTACGGAATGGTGCTGCTGCTCTGGAAAGCTGTTTGGGTGCAGCTCCTTCAAATGTCAAACGGTTACCACATGATTCAAAAATTCCATTTGTAGATATACACATAAGAAAAATGAAAACATATGCCCACATAGAAACTTGTACATTGGGCCTGGCGCGGTGGCTCACACCTGTAATCCCAGCACTTTGGGAGGCCAAGGCGGGCGGATCATGAGGTCAAGAGATGGAGACCCTACTGGCTAACACGGTGAAATCCCATCTCTACTAAAACATACAAAAAAAAAATTAGCCGGGCATGGTGGCGGGTGCCTGCAGTCCCAGCTACTCAGGAAGCTGAGGCAGGAGAATGGCGTGAACCCGGGAGGCAGAGCTTGCAGTGAGCCGAGATTGTGCCACTGCACTCCAGCCTGGGAGACAGAGCGAGACTCCGTCTCAAAAAAAAAAAAAAGAAAAAAAGAAACTTGTGCATTGATGTTCACAGAAGCATTATTCACAATATCCCCAAAGTGGAAACAATGTACATGTTCATCAACTGATGAACAGACAAACAAAAGGTGGTACATTCATGTAATAGAATATTATTTGGCAATAAAAAGAAATGAAATGCTGATGGATACATTGCATTACATGTAAGTTATATCTCAATAAAACTGTTTTAAAAAGCTGATGGGCATATTTCAAAGACACAGGGAGCCTGCCTACTGCTCAAATTTGGGGAAAATTGAGCAACAAAATGTAAAATAATGCATATAAAAGAAATCAAGTGGGGTAGGTACTGTTCCTGTCCTCATTTTACAAATAAGGAAACACAGGTAAGTAAGAAGTAACTTTTCATAGTCATACCTATAATAAATGGCAGAACTAGGATTTCAATTCAGGCAGTCTAGCTACAAAGCCTGTATTTTTCCACCATTGCAATATCCTGTCTTACCTCTGAAAGCATTTTAAAAAATGCACAAAATCTGGTAGGATGTGGAGGGGAAAGGGTAAGAGAAGGTGGATGTTGGTGAGGTCTTGCAGGAACGTATAATGCTTGACGTGAATCTTGAATTTCGCATATTTAGCAAGGCAACTGAGGATGGAAAGGAGAGGAGGTAAGCTAAGGGAAAAGGATCACGATAGGAAAAAGCGCAGAGAGGGAGAGATATCAAGGTAGTTCAGAATGACAGGAGGTGAATTATATGAAAACGGAGAAGAAGGGAGCAGATGTCAAGGGGTGATGCCAGAGAGGTAGACAGGGGCCAGATCGCAAAACTCCTGGCATGCTGTTATCACATATTTGAAGTTTACAGAAAATCATTTTTGGAAACATGATCAATCAAAGGAAGAAAATTTTGATTTGAAGCCAACTCTTTGCACTTGTAACTCTCTCAGCACAGTCAAGGGAAGGGTGGTTTGGGGTCCAGTTGAACAGGGTCATTTTGCTACAGCTGCACAGAGCCAGCATTGCTCTAGTATCCTGGGAACTGGTGATACAGGTACATTGCGACACAGCCCCTGTGATATGGATGCTGGTGGTCTCACAAGCGGATGTCCCATAGGGACAGCTCCCCTTTAGGGAGCTCATGGACATGGATATCAACCAGAGAGACAGACGTGGAGAGGAAGAATATGCCATAAGGTACCCTTTGCATGAAAACATGAAATATAGATGATTGGAACCACTTCTACCCACCACCATTACAAAAGTAACTGGGGAAATAGTTTACAGAGGAGAGAGGGCAGGAGCACTGAGGAGCAGAAATTAAGGATGGCTGCATTAGCCATTATAATTTGGGCATTAATAGTTAATGACAGTTTATTTTATAGTCATACATTTGCCAACTCTAGACCTACCAGTTATGTTTATAATTTCCAAGACTATTCCAACCACGATGGATCCATCATTTGTAGGAATGGTAATAATTTCTACTTCAGAAAGGCCACTATCATATTGATGGTTCTCACCCTGATAATCTCCTCACAACAAGTACCCAATTTGAGTTCCAAGATTACAGCATTCTGCTTTGCCTTTGGGAAACTCACCACCCCTCCATCTGGTTTTGAGAATTCTACCACTATGCCCCACTCTCCAATCATAACTCTGGCTATGCAATGACCCAGGCTGGCCAATCAGAGTATTTTAGCCCCAGGGCAGAGATACTGGATCAGGAATGGGCATCTATTCCATACTGGGCCAATCTAGAGCTTCCCTATAATTTGCTATATTAGTCCTGCTGAGAGAGAAGGTTTCTCTCCCTTTGGGAATGTGAATTCTAGCTGCCAGCTACCATCTTCCCTAGCCCCATGGAAGAATGCATCTGCAAGATGCGTTTGACAAAAGCCAAATGCAAAGAAAAGGCAAGAGCAAAGCCCTGAAGACACTGTGTGAACCACTGGATACTGTCATGTTCATAACAGAATGACATGTCTAGATTTCCAATCTATGAATGTCCAAAAATTCCCTTGCTTTCTTGAGGTAAAATTCTTTTGCCACTTGTATCTAAAAGAGCCCTGACTAATACCCAAGGAAAAAAATAATTTCTCTAAATTTACCCAGAGATAAACAGTAGAACACATGAAAAAAAAAAAGACTAAGATTATGCTTCTACAGTAAACAGAATTCTAAGATGACCCCAAGATTTCTGGCTCCTGGTTTGCAGACACCTTCTCTCAGTTATTCAGTCAAGCACAAATCTAGGTACTGCTGTGAAGGAATTTTGCAGATGTAGTCAAATGTCCAAATCAATTGACCTTAAAATAGGATTATCAATGTGGCATGGCTTAATCACACTTGCCTTTTAAAAGCAGAGAAACTTCTCCAGCTGGTGGCAGAAGAGGAAGTAAGAAAGAAACACTCAGTCTGGCCTGGAATAAAGCAAGTATTTATGCTGTAACTTGCCCATGAGAGCCAAGTTACAGGGAATTGAGGGTGGCTTCTAAAAGCTCAGAGCAATTTCTGTCCAACAGCTATCAAAAAATGGGGACCTTGGTCTCACAACTCAGGAAATAAATTCTTCCAATAATCAGTGAGATTGGAAGAGGACCACAAGTCCCAAATAAGAATCAAATTCCCAGCCAATATTACTAATAAGTGAAAAAAAAAATAGCAGATATTGGCAAGGTTGTGAAGCAAAGGGAACACTCATGCACTGCTAGTGGGAATATAAATTAGTTCAGCTGCCATGGGAGCAGTTTAGAGATTTCTCAAAGAACTTACGACAGACTACCATTCAGCTTAGAAATCCCGTTGCTAGGTATATAACCAAAGGAATAAAAATCGTTCTACCATAAAGACACATGCACACATATGTTCATCACAGCACTTTTCACAATAGCAAATATATGAGATCAACCTAGATGCCCACCAACGGTGGACTGGATAAAGAAAATATGGTACATATACACCATGGGATACTATGCAGCCATAAAAACAGAATGCAATTATGTTCTTTGCTGCAACATGGATGCAGCTGGAGGCCATTATCCTAAGCAAATTAACACAGGAACAGAAAACCAAATACTACATGTTCTCACTTATAAGTGGGAGGTAAATATTGAGTAGACACAAAGAGGGGAACAATAGATCCTGGGGCTTACTTGAGGGTGGAAGGTGGGTAAGGATTGAAAAACTACCTATTGGGTACTATGCTCATTACCTGAGCGACAAAATCAATTGTACACCAAACCTCAGCAACACACAATTTATCCATGTAGCAAACTTACACATGTGCCCCCGGAAACTAAAATAAAAGATGAAAAATAAAATAAAATTCCTTGGAAAAAAAAACCAAAAACATAATTCCAGCCAACACTTTAATTTCAACCCAGAGAGACCCTACAGCAGGGCTTCCAGTAAAGCAGGACCTGAATTTCTGACCGACAGAAATATGAGCTAATAATATGAGTGCTATTTAAGCCATTAAATTTGTAGAAATTTTTTATACAGCAGTAAAAGACTAATACAGTCTCCTCACCAGGTTCTCTGAAGCCAGTTGAAACCACTCTTGCAAAGATTATGACAGAGACAGAAATCTAGCATGGCTGACTCCATCTTGCTTCTAGCCTCACAAGCTGGCTGTCCTGGCTCATTCCTGAGTGTGGGCCAAGCTAACCATGGCAGGAATTTTGTTTACTGTTTAACTTTGAAGTAAGGATGATAATTGTCCCTCCCTAAAAAGTGGTCCCCTTCTTGCTCAGGGACCAAAACAACATTTGTAAAACTAATTAAAGGCCATGAGATTAGAACTACAGGAGGGGACCTGAGTTCTGTTAAGATATAGGCATAGTTTTTATAATCCCTCACAGCTCGGGAGTCACGTGGCCAGAGGTCACAAGATTTGTGACTTGCCCAATTGCTGCTGTAGATAGCATCGCTACTGTAAAGCCTAAAATTGGCCTTTTGAGATGTTTTATTTTTTCAGACTTTTGCATTCTGGCAACTGACTGACACCTCTAGGAATGACTCATGACTCAACTGGTCCTGTGGCCCCTATCCAGAGGGGCTCAAGACATGAGGACTGTTTTCCACACCTCTATGATTTCATCTCTAACCAATCAGCAGCACCCATTCCCTAGCCCCCTGCCCACCAGATTATTCATAAATCCCCAGCCTCTGAGTTCTCAGGGAGGCTGATTTGAGTAACAAACTCCTGTCCTTTCATTTGGCTAGCTCTATGTTAATTAAACTTCCTCTACTGAAAAAAATCTGCTGTTCTCAATGCACTGGCTTTTCTGGGAAGTGGGCAAGATTAACCCATTGCAGAATTACACTACAGTCCTCAATTTTATCCCTGATTGGTTCTAAGAATGTACAAAAAAAAAATAGAGTATATTGGTTGCCTGTCTGTTGCCCCCAATATTTAGATTAAAATTTAAGTAAATTTTGCAAATATTTTTATTTAGATGCTTTGGTAGGGTATTGACACAGGTATACCTTAATTTGGAAATCTCATCCTCTAGATTCTAATAATTCATAAAGTGCTTATCATATCAATCAAGCACTATGCTAAGCATCTCATCTCCATCAGCACATTTTATTCTCACAACCAAGAGCAAAATAAGAATTATCATAATTATATAATAGAAAATGTATGCTCAGAGTTTAAGTGACTTATTCAAGATTGCTTGAGGAAGATTTTCGGAATAAGATGTTATTCTGAGTCCTGTGTTCTGTCCTCTACACATCAATATTGATACAGGAGGTAGAAAGAAATTATTTAAGCAGATAGTGAGGGTAAAAGAGTCCTCAGCAGAGCTTCCCCTTTAACAAAAAGCAGCCCAAGAAATTATTTTTTTCCAACAAAGGGCAACCTGAAAAATCAAACTACAAATATAGACAAGCAAGCTGGAAGCTTGCATGGGGGAATGCCAACAGCTATGCCCAGAGAAAAGGGCTACCTGGGGGCCAGGCCTGTCCAACATGGAGGCTCTATCTTCCCTTTTCTTTGTTACCACGTGTACAATAAAGAAACAGGCGACATGACACCAGCCAGGCAGCCTCAACCAGTTTTTTGTGCCCTGTGAAAATGGCACACCAGGTCTGACCAATCTTTTGTGCCCTATATAAATCAGACACCACCTCCTCAAGCTCATCTATAAAACCCCCTACATTTCACTGTGGGACTGACAACCCATTTTTTGGGACCCATCTCTGCAGCAGAGAGCACTTCTCTTTCTTTGGCCTATTAAATTTCCACTCTGAACCTTACTCTTTGTGTGTCCACGTCCTAGTTTTCCGTGGCTGTGAGACAACAAACCTCAGATATTACCCCAGATGAATGATGCCATTTCAATCTCAATGTAATCTGCCACCACAGTGAGTGTGTGTGTGTGTGTGTGTGTGTGAGAGAGAAACCACTGAAACTATGCAAAACTATGCAAAATAAAATGGTTATAATAAATTTCCCCAAAGTGACTAAGAATCAACGAATATCATGCCTGAGACAGTCTTACATAATATAAAATTTGTCCATAGTAGTTAAAAATAGTAAATGTAAAAAGTCAATATATTGAAAGCATGCTCCTTGGAAGATAATGCTATAATGCAGAATAGTATTGACTGAGAACCTTTGATAGGACTGGCCTATGATTTCTGCCTTGAACAGAAAAAAATGGAATGTTTACAAGAGTTGTCATGACATAGATAGGAAAACAACGAGCAAAGACATAAAGATTTTGCCAGAAATAAAATATTCAGATTCTATCCCTGTCCAGACTATCCTGCTGGACCTAGGAGAGGGAAACATCACTAAGGTAGAATAATTCTGAAACAACATTACCAAATCTATTTTATCCTGGTCCATTTAAAATTGCTGTGAAGGACCTAGAATAAAATTCTGCTTAGTAACTAATTTAATCACATATTTTACTCCTAAGGTTTATTTTTTGTTCTGTTTCATACTTTTCTATATTTGGGTATTCTAGAAGTTTGCAATCGGTGAAAACTAATGATTCCTCATGTGAAATGGTAAGAATTCCTTTGCTTATTCATCATTTTATATTGTTCATGCTTTTTCATCTATTTTTATATTTCAAAGTATCCTTTTATACTTTGGAAAGGCCTTGTGTCTGTCATTATAGATAAAGGAAATAGTCACAATATATGAAAAAAACAATATAAATTTAGTATTCTAATTTTGTAAAAGTATGTTTTTATGGTTGATATATTGGCATTGTATGTTTTTGTACAATGAGCATAATTCAGGGTGAGAAGATACATCTGGAAGGAGTCATGAGTGCCAACTATGATTATCTCCGTATAGTGAACATGAGGGATTTTTAACTTTTTAATAATAGTCTGTTTTCCATATTTTCTGCAATAATCATGTATTATCAAAAATAATATTTAAGTTTTAAAACTAATGAATTCTTTGTGATATTGCTGTGGTTTAAATGTGTCCCTCAAAATTCACATGTTGAAACCTAATTGCCAATGCAACCACATTAAGAGACTGGGCCTTTGGGGAAGTGATTAAGTCTATTTTATAAGAGCACTAATCCATTCTTGAGGGTGGAGCCTCATGAACAGATCAGTGCACTTACAAAAGAAATTGAAGGGAGTGCCCACATGCCTTTTGCCCTTTTGCCTTTTGCCTTTTTGCTCTTCCATCACTTTTGCCAGGTGAGAATGGCACCAAGAGAGGATGCCATCGATAGAGCAGTTCCTCACCAGACACTGAATCTGCCAGTGCCTTGATCCTAGACTTCCCAGCCTCAGAACTATGAAAATATAAATTACTATTGTTTATAAGTAACTCAGTCTCAGGTATTTTGTCATAACAGCAAGAACAGACTAAGACAGATGTTGTTAAGGAACTCTAAATAACTCTATCTCCACATTAGCCTTAACCTGCAAGACTAGATTTGAGGCTATTAAGAACTGATTTATCTGGCTTGGAGGATATCTGGATGGAGGAAGGGCAGAGCAAGACAGAACCGGTCACAGTATTTAAAGTCTCACCATTACACAGAGTTGTATATTAATCTTCTAAAGACGTAATTACTGCTGTCTTCTGGAAAATCGTCTATATAAATATTGAGTGTTGGACTAATTGATCCAATTAAACCTTTCAGCATGTCTGCCCTGCCTTTTCCTGCAAACACATGTTGCCACTACTAGTACCAGCAGGACCATCTTGCCACCACCATCATAACCTGAGGAATTCAGCCCCCATTCCCATCCTACAGACATAAAAAATGAGGGCCTGTAAGGGTAATGACTTCTCAAAGCCACAAAATAAGAGGCAGAAGAGAATGAACACTTAAACTTAGGTCTTGACTCCAAGACACTAACACATTCTTTAAGAGTCGTTGTGTCATCTGGTTTAGCTCTTTTCATCACCAATTTCATGCCTTGGAAGCCTTTTAATTTCGAAGATAAAGGCCAAAATTAGAACCCTGATAGCCTCCCCTTCCCAAATCTCTGCTAGTGTAAGACAAGGAGGAGGATGCCTACAGTAGAATGCCAGGGGTGGTGCAAGAAAGTGTTTGACCCTCATTTGGTCTTGGGAATTAGTGATTAGAAGGGCATCTGGCTGTGATTAGGGCACTTGACTAACTTATTCCAAATTTCTGGGTTCTGACTCAGGATTCTCTAAGTTCAGGAAAGCCATTTACAAATTTCAAGTCACGGCAAAAGAAAGGAAGTTTCTTTGAGGCTTTTGCAATTTTACTTCTCAGAGCTGGGTTACTACCGGTTGCTGCAGGACTGGGCTGGTCCAGGGAAACTGGAATCGAAACCATGCTAGTTCATAAAGTATGATGATGTCAGAAACAAGCACAGACCAATGTAGATCAATACTGCAAGTCAAGGAGGGAGTCAAAGACAACAATCATAGGGCTAGACCAAGCTGGAGCAAACAGGCCAGGAGCAGAGTCCTCCTTGGGAAACCACTTAACTTTTCCGATTATCTATAAGACAGTAGAACTTAAGCAGAATTTAGAATCCAAGGTTTAAACTCAGCAAAGAAATGTGAATGGAGAGCATAGGAAAGCAGAGGAAAATATCTCAAGGTTTAATTATTTTTTACTCGAATGAGAATGCTGTTGATTTTAGGACAGGGACTGCACTCTGTCACCCAGACTGGAGTGCAGTGGTGTGATCACAGCTCACTGCAGCCTTGACCTCCCCGGGCTCAAGCAATCCTCCCTTCTCAGCCTCCTGAGTAGCTGGGACCACAGGCGCATGCGACCACACCTGGCTAATTGTACTTTTTGTAGAGATGGGATTTTGCTATGTTGCCCAGACTAGCCTGGAACTCCTGGACTCAAGCGATCTGCCTGCATCAGCCTCTCAAAGTGCTGGGATTATAGGTATGAGCCATTGCTCCAGAATTTAAGATCCTTCTTGATGTGAAAGAGCCAGAGCTTCTGCCACGTAGACCCTCCAGAAGAGAACAGGGTTCATGGACATGCTGTTGAGTGCATGTACCTGCAACTGCAGCAAGGCACGTGGCTCTGCCTCTGGGTCATTCTGTAGTTGTAAAATGTTCCACAAGCAACTACTGAGCTGCTCATTGTATCTGAAGGACTATACATTCTTTATAGCCAAGACTATGCAATATTTCTCTCTTTCACTGCTCTAGTAAAAATGTTTAAGAATTTCTAAAGTTTATGATTCTTTCATTCATCAGCACCTGTGACTCATTGATTCTTCCTCACAAAGTGTTCATGATCATTCATCTTCTGATTCTCAAAAGGATTTGCTCAAAGAATGTTTGCTGAACACAGTATAAGGTCTTAATCACTTAAATACATGCTTTAATTTCAGACACTTCTCTTTGTTTTATAGGGAGACACACGTTGTTCTCTCAATGGACAAGGATCTTCTTCAACCCCTGCATCCCCCACATAGTGGCACAAAGGAAATATTTGTTGAATGAATGAGGTTAGTTGCTTTTCCTTTTTAAAATAATCTTGATGTGTCACTACATATTTTGGTACAGATGCTTTCAATATTTGGTTATTCAAGGAGACTGAGTTGGCAAAACTTTAAATAGATGCTATGATAGAAGCAGTAAAGCTTGCATTTAGCTTGGAAATGTTGAGAAGAAACATGTATACATTTTCATCTTCATGATCCTCCTCACCTAAAGCCGTGGGCTACTGGAATGTCTGCAGAGTATGTTGTACATACAAAGACATTTTCACTCTTACTTGTTGGAACCCCTGAATATATCTGGTCCCATCACCACAGGTTGGTGGTGACATTTTTCAAAACTAAAATTAAAAAATAATGGATCAGTAAAACTTCACCATAAGAATACCTGTAATAAAAATTCCCAAACACAGATAATGGAAAATGTAATGTTATTGACTCGGATAAATATAAGCCATTGGCTTTAACTTGAGAAATACAGCTTTTCCCCCAACTTTCTTACAGATTCCTCAATTATAGTACAGAGGAGTTAAAATTTAAATGCTTCCCAACTCTAAAGTAGCTGGTCCAATGTGGACCAATTTGGATCAGCTACTTTTCTTCTCCATTTGAAACTTTCCAACAATAAAGACAACAGTCTTCTTGTACTTGATCCCTACAGAATTAAACAGATGCTGCTTTTGGTGTGGACCCAAATCATAGCCCCTCAAGGAGTTTGTCAGCAGATTTGGAAGCCACCAACTTTTAAAAGTAAAGTCCTAATCCCTTATTTTATGAAAATTATACTGCCACTGGAGGCAGAAATCTATCTTGTCCTCAAAAACATTGCACTTGGTTGGGCACGGTGGTTCATGCCTATAATCTCAGTACTTTGAGAGATTGAGGCAGGCGCATCACTTCAGACCAGGAGTTTGAGACAGCCTGCGCAACAGGGCAAAACTACATCTCTACAAAAAATGAAAAATAATTAGTAGGGCATGGTGGTATGCGCTTATAGTCTCAGCTATTCAAGGAGGCTGAGGTGGGAGGATCCTTTGAGCCCAGGAGTTTGAAGCTGCAGTAAGCCACGATTGCACCACTATGCTCAGCCTGGGGAACAGAGTGAGAACTTATCTCAAAACCAAACAAACAAACTATTGCAATTTAGTTTTGATGTAAAAGGTATAACAATCTGAGTACATAGGAGCAGTTTCATATTTTAAAAAAATCACCTTGAGCAAAATAGATAATGAAAGTATCATGTAAATAGTGTATTTTAAATAGTTTATTCAACCTCTTTTTAAAAATTGTTTGGCTTACTGAAAGAAAAATAAAAGTTTTCAAAAAGAACTGTCCCCACACACAGTCCCCTACCCCCAACTAGCCTTCGATTTCCATCACTATAGTCCAGAACAAGTATTATTTATAGTTAAAAGATGCATCAGTCAGCTCAGCTAACTAAAGTTCCAAATGCATTCAGCTGCCTACTGCTGAAGCCCAGTTTCGAAAGCTTTTATCTGTCACCAAGGCCAGCCATCCACACCATTGAAACTCAGAATCATTACAAGCCTGTGACAGAGGCCAACCCCATGAGCAGAAGCTCCCTCTCTGCCTCACAATTCTGATTTCACTTCAAAGATCCAGTTTCCCTCACAACCCTCCTCCTATCTGAGGTCTTGTTCTTGTGACTTTTTTAATCTCAAGATTACCCCCATTCACTTGAGTGAATCACAATAGAGTGGCCAGCGATATGGGCCTAAGTATACAAGAGTTCAGAAAAGGAGGCCATGCATGACTTTAAGAAATGTCGAACCTAATAGATTACTATCAAAGATAAACAGAAACCCCAATATCAAGTATTTGAAAAGTACAAAATTTGCAGCAAAATATTACAAATAAGTAATACTAAATAATGGACTGTATCCGATTAGTTTCCATTTTATAATTCTCTCAGTACTAGGGTCAAATATGAACTATTATATTATACTTCATTAGTGGTCACTTCAGCTCTTCACTGCTTCGTACTCCTTTAACTGGTGTATATATGTTGCATGGTAAATTTCTTGAATGTTAAGATCCTACTTTTATAACCCCATTGCACTTAGCAGGGATGTACACCTAGACCTCCATATCAAAGTGATCAATAAATGCTTGTTAAGATGTATATGAACATGGAAGCAATTACTCGTCTCTAACAACAACTGTGAAAAATGTGGAGGCTCAGTGTTGTATCAGTGAACCAGCAAAATCACCAGTTTCTGAATGTGTAAGAGAATATCAATTGATGATCCAGCTTCTAGCAGCCACGCCCATTTCTACAAGCATAGAAATGATGACCTGTTGCATAATAATAGTAGTCTAGTTAATTATAATAAAATAATGTATGCATGTGTTCAGCAAATATTTATTGAGTGCCTACAATTTGCCAGTAAAAACAAAACAGACACAAATCCCTGTCTTCGAGAAGCTTACATTAGAGTGGGGGAAATAAACCATAAAAAATATAAATAAGTAAAAGAGATAGTGGTAATACTAAGGAGAAAAAAACAGGACAGGGAATAGTAGTACAGGGTATTGCAATTTAGATAGAGTAGCAATGACAATTCCTGAAATAAGTGAGGGAGTGAGCCATGCTAATATCTGGGAATAGCATTCCAAGCACAGAGAATGCAAAGACTTTGGACAAATTCAAGGAACATCGAGAAAGCCAAAGGGATGAGCTCAGTGTGAGAGGAGGGTAAAACAGCAACAGATGACTTCAGAAACATGAGATAGGGCACATGGATTATAGAGGGCATTTTAGTTCATTATGAAGACTTAAGCTTTTACTCTAGGATGAAAAGCAAATCCAGAATTATGAAAGAGATGTGACATGATATGATTTATATTTTTCAGGGATCCTGCTGGCTTGTTGTATTGGAAATAGACCAAAGGCAAACAAGAGCAGAAGCTGCAAAACCAGTTAGGAAGCCATTGCAATAATCCAAGCTAGAGTTATAGTGGCTTGCACCAGAGCAGTAGCAATGGAGGTGGTGATAAGCAGTAGAGTTACAGATTCATTTTGAAGGTTGAGTTAACAACCTCAACTCTAACCCTGACTTTTTCAAACCCTTGTGTCAAGGTCTGGCTTTCAAAAGACTGGAGTGAAAGGACAGCTTTCTCCATATGAAACCACAACCCAGAAGCAGGTCATCTACCAATGCTTTAGCTCTAGGTTAAATGGTCTAGCATCAGGGTTGCTGAATGATTCTTCATGGAATGCAAAAGGTTTTGCCCAGAGAAACTAGAAGAACGGAGTGGCAGAAACAGAAAAAATAGTGAGAGAAGCATGTTGGAGTGGGAGGTCAGAGAATATCAGGAGTTCAGTTTTAGATATAAGTTTTAAATCAGACATGTATGTACACATGTAAAGAAGGGATCTACAAGGGTGAATCACAGAGATATAGCCTGAAAATCAGACCACTTAGATTACACTTTTTATTTATTTTTTAATTTAATTTTTAATTTTAATTTTTGTGTGTGTGAGTGGTCTTTTGCTTTGCACGCCTGTTAGCCTCCAGCAGGGGTTCAAGTGAGACTATGTAAAGCTCTGTATGTGTCTCTTATTTTAATTTCAATTTTTATTTTAGATTCAGGGAGTAAATGTGCAGGTTTGTTATGAGGGTATAATGTATGATGCTGAGGTTTGGGCTCCTGTTGATCCTGTCACCCAGAGAGTGAACATAGTACCCAACAGGAAGTTTTTCAGCCCTTGCCCCCACTCCTTCCCTCCTTTTGAAGTCCCTAGTGTCTATTGTTCTCATCTTTATGTCTGAGATCACACTTTTCAAAAGCAGAGTCTGAGATGGAGATTCTTGTGCAAGTTACATTTTGAGTTGTTCCTTTCAGGAAAAAAAAAAAAAAACTATAGGAAAATAAGATACACAGGATAGAAGAAGAGAAGAAACTAAATTTTTTAAGTAGTTTCTAGATCAATATACAGTCACTTTGATCCCATGGGGAGATTTGGAGTGTAGTTTGACCCCAAAGTTTGCCCCATTTGAAGGCAAGGAAGTGGAACTGTTATAAGCCTGCATTACACAGTCATTAGCCAAGAACTGCAGAAAGAGGGGAATGGACAATCAGACTTCTTTGGGTGGAGTGGCTTCCATCAATCAAAGGCAATCCTTGGGAACCATTAGCAGTCATTAGCAGCCAACATCTGGCAGGCGACAATGGGTATATCAACCCTGTAAATTCGGTGGATTCGGTTAGAGGGAGGGTGCACCAAGAGCAGCTGTTGTAATCTACCCCTTGTACCACTCAGTTTTAGCATACACCAGTTAACGTAATGTTAACTAACCTAACCTGCTCTCACATTAGGTTCACTCCACCTGGTCAAAGCTTCTCCAGGATTCTGGCCAGTTGAAATTTCTGGAGAAACTGACAGAGAGAGATTTAGTGATGCAAACTATATACAGCCCCAACTGCTGCAGCTGATCATGAGGCCATGACTAATACACATCACTGTCTTCATCTACTACCCACTCCAAATATCTTTTACTCTTGGCTAGCACGTAATGCAGTGTAGGTGGCTGTCCTGATGAGAAGTCCCAAACCCTCATCCCTGAGAGATCTAAGTCCTGACTGCCATGTCCTTATCAGCAGTGCTTGCTGTACCCGCCTATTTGTAGTAGAATTGGCCACAGAAGTGCTAAGAGATGACCCAATGGTCACATGAGTTCTTCACATACTCTTTCCAGCCCCTATTTCCACATTATGATCACAGTCAATTATTCCTGCGAGTTGGTAACTCTTTTCCTAGCCTCCTGGTCTTCTGGGATCAGGAGCTCAAAATGACCAGGTGGCAGCTATAATTTTATTAGGACTTTTCTTGTGTCCCCTTTTGGAAATGCTCCCTACTCTGGGAACCAACCTCTATGCATACAAAGCATAAAGCTAAAAGCACGGGAAGCAGGAATCCTCCAAGAGGGTCTCCAGAAGATATGGTGAGCAAGGCCACTTCTACTTCCACTCCTTGAGTCCTAGACCCATGTGGTCTGTGTGTTGGAGACACAGCACAAAATAATGGTCATTCGTTTACAGTATATTCCACATTTTAAGGACAACAACTCACCTCCACAAAAAATGTCATCTCGAAGTTGGTACCTCAGCTGCACATTCCAAAGGTCATTCCAGCTCTTTCAGAACAGGCAGTTTCCAGCTGGTATGGCTGGTGCCTGCAAGTATGCTAGAGAATGTGACAGAGAGAAAATGGTGGTGCAGGGCTTGGAATTCCCAGCTCAAGATCCAGCAAACAACCAGAAAATTTCTATGACTGTGACAAAAAATCCCTTTTCACTTCTTATTGTGGAGTTGAGATTTCTGAAAAACAAACCTAAAATCTGTTCTGTGGGTGGATGAATTACAATGTCACATGAACTTCCAACCTTGCTGGGTCTCTTGAAAAAGTTAGGATATTCATCAGCTAGGGGTCTGGCCCAGAAAACTGGGATGGAGAGAAATGGCCAGATTCCAGTAAAACTAGAAACATGAACTCCTAAGTTCTGCCAAATCTTCTTTACCAATAGAAGCAGCCCTTCCTACTTTATCTGAGGAGATAGATGACTTCTTTCCTCCAGAAGGCCTGTAAGGGACTTACTTCAAGTAGTTTCTTTGCAAGGCACTGCGGATCCTGAAATGATCACACTCCCACCCCACATTGTTTCTAGACCTATGACCAGTCTCATGTCCCAGCTGGTCCAAGAGAGTGAGGCCAAACTGTGACCCATATGGAGGGTGTTCAATGCACCAAAATCCCAAGGAGGGTGGCTGGATCCAAGGGTGCATGCATTAGTAAATTTGATGTATATTGCTAAATTTCCCTCCAAAGAGAGTATACTAATTTATGCTTCCATCAGCAATGTGGAAAAGAGCATGTGTCTCCAATAACTTGGCAAAAGAGCATGTTTTCAAAGTTTTGCCAAGTGGATAGTTTAAACATTGTAGACCAATATAGTTTTAATTTGTATTTCTCTTATTATAAATCAAGTTGAGTATCTTTTCTGTGTTTAAGGAGCCATTTGTATTTCCTTTTCTGTGAAGTTCATATTCATATTTATTGCCTTTTCTCTTTTTCTTTTGAATTGTTGATCCTTTACCTATCATTTCTAAGAGCTCTTTATATATTGGAAATTACATTTTTATTATAATATGGGTTGCAAGTATTTATTTTCCCAGTTTGTTTGTTTTTTGTAATTTTCTTATAAATTCTTGCCATGCAGAATTTTTAAAATTAAAATTAATCTTTTTCTTTATGAGTTTAAAAGACTTTCCACATCCCAAGATATTAAAAGAATCCCTCTCCTCCCATTTATTCCTAGCAATTGTGTTGTTTCATTTTAACATTTAACGTTGATATATTTGGACTTTATCCTGGCATAGGATTTGAGATATGGCAACATTTTTTTAGATGACTATTGTTATCTCAACATCAGTTACTGAATTTTTCTCTGATATGAAATATTACTTTTATCTATAGTGAATTTATATTAAATTACCATATGTATATGAATTCATTTTCTGGACTATCTATTCTACAGTATATATTCACAAACATATTTAAATTTTGAGGCTCATGCTATATTTTAAGACATAATAGAGCCTGCCTACCTTTTTTGACTTCTTTCAATTTCTATAAGCTTAAACTATGTTAGTCTTATTTTTATAGGTTTAAAAAGAGGAAAAGAGTACTTTGTAGGTCTTATACTAAATTAACAAATTAACTTAAGAATAATTAACATCTTGCCGGGCACCATGGCTCACATCTGTAATCCCAGCACTTTGGGAGGCCGAGGCAGAGGGGTCACTTGAGGCCAGGTGTTCAAGACCAGCCTGGCCAACATGGTGAAACCTTGTCTCTACTAAAAATACAAAAATTAGCCGGGCATGGTGGTCCATGCCTGTAGTCCCAGCTACTTGGGACGCTGAGACATAAGAATCACTTGAACCTGGGAGGCAGAAGTTGCAGTGAGCCAAGATCACGCCACTGCACTCCAGCCTAGGCAACAGGGAAAGACGAAGGAAAGGAAGGGAGGGGAGGGGAGGGGAGGGGAGGGGAGGGGAGGGAAGGGAAGGGAAGGGAAGGGAAGGGAAAGGAGGAAAGGAAAGGGAGAGAAAGGAAGGAAGGAAGGAAAGAGAGAAAGAGAGAAAAAAAGGAAGAAAGGAAGAGAGGAAAGAATACTTAACATCTTTATGGTAGCAAATCTTCTTATCTAAGAAGACAATGTAGGATTCCATTAGTTCATGTCGACTTTCATGTCTTTCTGAGTATTTTTAAGTTTCCTTCAGGTCGGTCTTATACACTTCTTGTAAAATTTAATTCCAGTATTTTATCTTTTTTGTTCTTATTGCAATAAAATCTTTTCTTTCATTCTATTCTAACTGGTGGTTTCTTTTGCATATTAGAAAATATTCATTTCTGTATCTTTGTTTTGCATCCCACCACCTTGCTAAGTTCATATCGGTCTGTAGTAGCTTTTATGTTGATGTTAATTGTTTGGATTTTCCGACTATACAAGAATATATATAGCTCCCCTTTCCAATGTCAATAACTATAATTTGTTTCTCTTAATTAAATCAAATGTTTTCACCATTAAGATACAAATTGTGATGATAATGCTCATTCCTTTCATATTTTTGAGTTGTATAAGAATGTCTCTGGATACATTATATAGGCTGCAAGTTTTTGGGTAAGGTGGATATATTTTTTCATGTTATTAAATATTTATATTATTGAGCACTTTATCAAAACAGTATTAAATTTTTTAATTGCCTTTTAGCATATTTGGAGGTGATTATATTACATTTCTTTTACAAGTATCAATGTGTTATGTTAATGACTTTTCTAATATTGAATCATCATTAAATTCCTAGATTAAATTCTACTTGGAAATGATATAATATGTAATGCACTGTTGGACTGTGTTTTCTAATATTTTATTTAGGATTTTCTATGCATAAGTGAGATTCGGTTGTAGTTTTCCCTTTTATGCAATTTTCTTTTTCTCAGTTTTCATGACTATTTCATTGATATTTGCAAAGAAGTTGTATTTTCTGGGCATGTGCAGAGTTTAATAACTATCAATAAGAGCTAACTTATTTGTCTATACAGCAGGTCCTTGAATAATGTCGTTTTGTTATAACATTGATGATAAAAAAAAAATATTGATCCCCGGCGGGGCCACCAGTTGTAGGGTTTGCAAGTTCTCCTAATGTCTGCGCGGGTGTTCTCTGGGTGCTCCGGTGCAAGTGATTCTCCTGCCTCAGCCTCTGGAGTAGCTGGGACTACAGGTGGGTGCCACCACGCCTGGCTAATTTTTGAGTTTTCTGTAGAGAAGGGGTTTCACCATGTTGCCCAGGTGACAGGGTTTCACCATGTTGCTCAAACTCCTGGGCTCAAGAGATCCGCCCACCTTGGCCTCCCAAACTGCGGGGATTACAGGCGTGAGCTGCTCCCGGCCTTTTTTTTTTTTTTTTTTTTATTGCTGGGTGTAGGAAGGTGTACATGTTAACTTTTGGGGGTACTACCAAATTGTCCTCTGAAAAGATGTTGGTCCAGTTTATGCTGATGTCAGCAATATATGAGAATGAACGTTTATTTTCTCACCTCCTCCAGCTGGGAGACAGAGCAAGACCCTGTCTCAAAAACATTTAAAAATAAGTAAATAAAATTTTTAAAAAAGAATGTCTATCTGGAATTTATGATTAAATGTTAGCTCTAAATTTATGGTTTTCCAATTGGAGTACCAGTATACCACAACACTAAATGGCCATCTTTTCCTCACTGATTTAAAATGCTTTAGTTATCATATATGTAATTTTTCATGTAACTATTGTCTGGGCTGTCTGTTGATGTGTTTGTCTATTCATTTCTTTTATTATATTCTATTACCTTATTGTCTACATCAGTACCACACGGTTTTAAATACTACAGCACTAAAGTATCCCAAATTCTACCACTCACTGACCATGAGACCTCAGTAAACCTCTCTAAGTCTCATTTTTTTTACATTGTTGTTTTAAGAAACAATACATAAAAGACTAAGTAAATTAGTGCTCTAGTCCTGTTCCTCACACAAAATAGACGTTCAATAAGTAATTGTTATTATAATTCACAATTATATAATGAAGGTAGTAATGAATTATGTTATAATTCATAATTATATAATGAAGGTAATAATGAGTTATATTATAATTCATAATTTTTATTACAACTCATAATTGACGATGAGATTAGACTATGGACAAAAATTTATGATAATAAGTTACCAAATATTTTAAAAATACAACTACCCTTGCTTCTCTTTTACTTCTCCCTGTGTGTTCAAGCTCCAAGGGAACTTGTCCCTGTGGGGAGATCATTCAGATTCTGGAATATGCTCTGTTCTCCTAGGCTAATGGTGTGAACGGTGGAAGGAACAAAGAGTAGCTTATGTAGGACGCTATGGAAAGGGAGATCGGGTCAGTAACAAAGAGGAGAGCTGGCACTCCACTAAGTTTCCCATAGGAAGGACTGAAAGCCTGCTGTTCAGTTGCTTAGCAACAGGCAAATGTACAAGAAAGAAGTCAAAGACATCATAAAATCAGGCAAATTTTACTCTCTCACTCACCCATTTATTATTTCTACATTGTGCATAAGTCAAAGTGTGACTTCCAAAAGATAAGCCAGCCAGACAGTAAAGGGAAAGCTCAAACATAGGCATAAAAATGTAGTAGGTACCCCAGAGATAAATGTACAGATAAAAGTACATGTGATTCTAGCTGGATTCCAGCTTATAGAACCATTCTGCTCAGCGCAAGTACTTGTTAAGTGCTTCAGAGGATGCATGGAAGAGTATGAGGCAGCCCATGCCGTTAAGAAGTTTAAGATCTTCTAGGGTGGAAGAGACAACTATGCAAACAACAGCGTCAAAGGCAGGACTAATGTCACAACTGAGGAAGAGATTTAAGACTTGGGGGGCATCCAGAAAAGCTTCACTGAAGAGACACCATTTGAATTAATAAAAGTTAAACAGAAAAAAAATGTTAAGTAGGGTTTTTGACAGGTACATGGGGGAATAGGGAGTGCTTCTCAGGATATCAGGGAGGAAGTTTTAGGCATGCCCAGAACAATAATCCAAATTTGCTGCAAAATAGGATCTACTAGAATGGCAGTGAAAGATAAAGTTGTTGCCAGACTGTGGAGGTTCTTGAATGCCACATTTAGGGGGCCTGTGCTTCATTTAATAGGCACTGAGAGGCTGGGTGTGGTGGCTCATGCCCGTAATCCCAGCACTTTGAGAGGCTGAGGCAGGCAGGTCACTTGAGGTCAGGAGTTCAAGCCCAGCCTGACCAACATGGCAAAACCCTGTCTCTACTAAAAATACAAAAATTAGTTGGACATGGTGGTATGCACCGTAATTCCAGCTATTCAGGAGGCTGAGGCAAGAGAATCACTTGAACCCGGGAGGTGGAGCTTGCAGTGAACCAAAATCAGGTTGCAGTGAGCCAAGATCACGCCACTGCACTCCAGCTTGGGTGACAGAGCAAGACTCTGTCTTAAAAAAAAAAAAAAAAAGGCACTGAGAGATGATTCGGGTGATATACCTTCAGGAGATTAATCTGGAAATGATAGTTCTGACTGCGGTGGTAGTGAACCATGAAATGAAGCAAGTAGTGAAGAAGAAATCTCAGCAGTGCAGGTGGGAGAGGAAGATAGTCTAATCTCAACAAGGATCAGGAATGGGAAGAAGGAGACAGATGATGGGGACATCACAGGGGTAAAATTTGAAAATGGTTACCTATTAGGTACAAGGGCTCAGTAGAGAGAAGGGGGTGAAAATTAACTCAGAAGTTGATAGCCTGATTTATTGAATAGCTGTAATAGATGAATGGATTCATCTGAGCAGGGGACGGGCTGGTGGGAAGAGGAGGGAGGGAAAAGTAGAGGAGGAGGAGGAGGAAATAAAGAAGAAGGAAATACTTTGAACTTGCTAAATTTGCTCATGGTACTATCAGGTGGTAATGTCCAATTAGTGGAAGAAAATATAGGATTGGAGTTTAGAGAAAGGTCAAGGCTTTGGTAATTATCAACATGAAGGGCATAATTGAAGCTATGTGAGTAGATTTAAACACAAAGGAAAGAGATCAGATATCATCTCAAAGGAAGAAGAGGGCTGGCTAAGGACAGAACCAAGAGGCAGGAGGATGAGTGGTTAGTGAAGGGGACACAAAAAGAAGCGATGGGAACTGGAAGAAGATCCTAGCATCCGTCGCCAAGAGAACAACTTTTAGAAAGATGCGCAGATGGGCAATTATGGGTGAGGTTTAGTTTCCCTTTTAAAAAAATCTTTCACCAAGATCAGCAGTACTTTTGTAAAAATATTTTTCATCAGTTTATTTTAAGGAAATCATTTGTTATCAACAGAGGCAAATACAACAGAGACATGGGAGGATAAGGGCTGGGGACAATATCACATTTAGTGACAAAGAGATCGTGTGTGTCCCTGTAGAAACAAACATGTTTCAGCAGAACAGGGAAGCAGGAGAGGATTGGAAGGCACACGGGAAGACCCTGCAAGTGACTCATTGGCAGCACAGGGGTACAGGGAGGGGGAGGAGCGAGACAGATAAGGGGATTGTTTTCAGGAAAAAAGTTTAGAGGCACATTTGTTGAAGAAGGGAAGGACAATAAAGAGGGAAAGTTGGAAGATTTGTGTAGAAGTAGAAATCCTTGACCTAGCAGCAGAGAGAAAACAGGCAGGAGCAGGGCTAGGATCACAGATGTCAGCCTTGAAAAGCCAAAAACAGAGACCAGTCCTCTAATGTAGAGTGTGGTGGAGGTAAAAACCAGGAAAGGAGGCGGAGAGATTTTAAAGTGAATGGAGGAAACTTGAGGGTTGTCTCGTTTGAATGATTCAGGGAGTAACTGAACTTAAAGAACGTTTGAGAGGAGCTGGGAAAAGCAGAAAGGCAGTCTGAACATGGTTCACCAAACACAAAGGCTTTTTCTTCTTAAATCTTAGGTCTTAGACAGATACAGATAAACTTCCCCATGTCAGTAGGGGAATTACAATAGGTCCCAATATCAATCAAAAGAAGTTACATCTGAACCCACAGACCTTAACAAATACAGAGGAGACTAACAGGCTGGGCTATTATAGAGAACATGAACCACATACAAATCATAGACCCCTGGCACTCAGAGGGATCTCCAAAGGTCATCGGAGAATACACACATCCCTGGCAACACACACTGCCACACACATGCACCAATTACACTATGCTCTGTGTAGAAGGTTTAGACACCAGAAACTCTTCCATGGAAAGAAGGAGAGAGGCACCACATTAGATGGCCAGAAAACTTTGAATTGATGAGAAGGGAAAGGTGGTTCACAGGACAAAGCCTGAGAAAACTGCAGTTCCAAAAACATGCCCCAGTTCGATTGAACAGATAAAATATTGCATGAAGTTTGAGGATCTTTGCATCCAGTTCCCAGAATGATTATTTTAAATACGAAGAGATCGATCACAGGAAAAATAAAGGCTTCTGGATTCTTTGACCACATCAGGTCCCACAGGAACCATGGCCACATGAACTATGCACTTGGTGAGTACATAACATGACACTAGCCCATATTTCAGGACCTTTACTCTCACCTTGTATCCTATTTCATTGAAGTTATTTTTCTAATCATTAACTGTAGCAACAGAGAGAAAACATTCAATGTGGCAAAGAGAGAAGCTATGTCCCTTTGAGTCCATGCCTTCTCCACAAGAATCTCCTTGAAGTTTTTCATCAGCTGTGGCTCAAGGTGTCCCACACCTTGAGGAACGACGACTCTTCAGCACAGCTCTCAGCCTGCAGTTGCTGAAGAGCAGAATGATGGGGTGAACTGCTGCACACAGATAAATCACTGACTCCCACACCCAGAATTTAAAGTCCAGAGGTGGAAAAATACCTGCAGCACTGAACACCAGTGACAGGAAATATGAGATGAAGAGCATGGCAAAAGAGAGGAGAGCCAGCAGAGCCTTTATGTGTGCCTGCACACTGGGCTCTCGGAATCCTGAGGTTGTAAGGAGAGCCTTCTTCCTGTGTCTTCCCAGAGATGTGATGAGCAAAATCATGCAAATGAAAAAGACAGCAGTGGGCATTGTCCAAGTAATCATTTTTAGAGGGAAGAGATAGAATTTCTCACAGTAGCTCCGTATGCTATCGCCAGTGACATTCCAAGGTTGTAGATGGTTCCTTAAATAGTTCTGATACATTCTGTGGTTGCCTATGAAAAATAGAATGGTGGTGAAGCTGGAGAGCCCTACAGAGCTGAAGAGCATCCATGGTAGCCACCCAGACAACTTGTGCTTTAGCCAGAAGAAGACAGGGTGGGTGAAGGTAGCAATTTTCACACAATAGAAGACACTGAGCCAGGTAGAGGACCATAAGGTGGCAGCATTCAGGAAGTCCCACTGGAAAGCTAGAAACTGCAGTACAGGGTTGTATGGGAAGGCCATCGGATGCAAGAAAACATAAATGGTCTTACCCATTACCACTGACTGCAGACAGAAGCGAGAGGCCCCTAGGCTAACCAATAACTTATCACAAGGCAACAACATTCTCCGTAGCACCCACTCCACGCCCAGAGCAGCAGTGATGAAGCCATTGCCTGCTATTGCTACCAGGCGTAAAAGGAGTAAAATGGTAACCAAGATGATGGCCTTCTTGTCAGTCACCGAAGATCCTAGAACCATGTGGTCTCCATTCATCTCTCTGGTGGACAAGATGGGTCCCAAAACTTCAAGGGCTATCTCTGTTGGGTTGCTCTGGAAGGTCCTGTAGGATATGTTTGTCCCTCCAGCTGCCCCAAGCGCAGAAGCTAGGCCAGAGTAGAGGACGCAGGCTATCAGAGGAGGGTGAGAGGTTTTTTCTTCTCAGAGTAGATGCAAATATTGTCAAGGCTCAATTTTCAAAGTCCCCATACCTGCCCAAAAATTTGCCTGCTCTTCTGCCTATTCTCTGCCCATGTCAACATCAAAGTGGATAATATATCAGGCCCTGGCATTTAGTGTCCTTACACAGGAGGTTATACTTCTCTAAGCGGACACCTATGACAGGACCATGCACCTGCCAGCTCAGTAGTATCATCCGTGGGGCACACCCGCTACTGAGACAGCGCTCACATCCACGGGGGGGGGGTGATTGTTATGTTGCAGGCATTGTTCTGAGTGCTCTCCTTAGTTCTCACAACAACTCTATGCGGGGAGTAGTATGGCAAGACCCCTTTAACTGAGACAGAGAGAAAACTGAGCAAACCTTTACAGAGAAGGATTAATTCAAGTCTTATTACTCACAGTGACCATCATCATAAAAAAAGAACACTGGAGACAATTATACATAATGAGGCAGGCAACTTTTTTCAAAATTTAAAAATATATATTTGATAACTGGTGGCCTCTAAAATAGCACTTCACAGAGGAACCCCCAGTAGCGATAAGCCAATGGGATATGGCAGAATGAGCCCTGTGCTAGGAGTCGAGACAGCCTTTAGTCCAAACTTTACCCCTTACTGTGAGTTGCTGGATATGTCAGCCCCTCTGCGCCTCATTTTGTCCATCTGTAAAATATGAAAAGTATCCTATGTTCTAATTCACAAAGATGTCTTAGAATCTCGGCTTAGAATGAAAGAAGACATGAAAGATAATCTTACAGATAAAAGAAATAAGACCCCAAATTATATATTACAACTCCCACCTAAAGTCACAGTTACACAGAGGAAAGACCAAGATCCAAACTGATTCCAGGACCAGGAATCTCTGCCATGGTTAGCAATACATGTTACACCTCCATCTTCTTCATCCCTAGCTGAACTCAGAAGCCCAAGTTTTGAGTCTTGTCACAATCACTACGGATCCTCAAGCAGTTAACCTCTCTGAACACCCCCCTTTCTTCACCTATAAAAAATATGGGTCACAAATAAATATGACCATAAATATGGTAAATATATTGGAAATTATAAACCTCTGCATATGGACAAGGAGCAATGATGATGATGACAATTACTTTATTAGAATGGCTATCTTCTATTCCATCCATCCTGTGGCATAATAAGTAGCATAAGGAGAATTCAGGAGAGCATCAGGGATGCAACAGAAGTTCAGGGCACCAAATGTCAGACCACTGATATCAACCAGAGAAGGACAGAGTAAAAAAAAGACCACATTCTTTATAGAAATCAGCTTCAAAGAGTCAAAAAAATCAGCAATCAACACCCAGGTGAGTGTAAGTAGGTTAACGTGTCACAGGGAGATAGGAAAGCAGGAATTGTTCTGGGTCAAATACAGCAATATTGAAGGCTCAGGATCAAGTAACATGACAGTAAGGGGATTTGTAATGAATACACATCTGCTGACACCACAACCTACCAGTTCCATATATAGGACCCCCACAAAAAGGGAATAGAACGCATGTCAGCATCTCTTCCCAGTTCCCAGTCTACTTCCCAGTAGTCCACTTCCAGGTGGAATTGTTTCTTTAACACATACGCCAACCATAGTGGACATAGGTCTTCGGAGTAAAGGAAATAAGATGAACTAAGGTAATTCACTCTGCCTTTCTGTGAAGATGCAAATTTCCAGGAGATAGAGTTCCCAACTGCTCTCTTCCTTGCCCTTGTTCTTCTGGCTGACATTTGGCTGTTTTCTACTGGAACTTGGAGAAATGGGGCAAACTTCGGGCTTATAGCTCTGGAGTATGGCCACCTACAAACCGCCCAATATGGAAAACTTGAATCTTTTTCATCCACCTCCCACACCTTCAATGATAAAGATGTGCATTTAACCTTCAATTCATTTAATAATAATTTATTAAGCATATCCTATATGCCATGATAACCCTTTGAAAGACATTGGGCTACAACAGTGAATTAGATATCTGCCTTCAAAGCACTTTTATGGGCTAAACATAAACCACAAACATTTACTGGACATATACTATGTGCAGAGTAAGTTAATCCAAAAGAGGGAATAATCATTTGAATTTAAATATGCAATGTGTTTCGTGGTGATTCTTTTGTTGTTTGTTGTTTGTTTGTTTGTTTGTTGCATTTGGCTTTCTCATGTCTAGATTTATCTTCTTAGGTAAAAGTCAAGTCTGAGAGTTTTTAACTTTTCATAACCAGTCTTTATAAATGTAATCATGAGGGTAGTAGGATAGGGATCCTGAGTTAGCTCTCTATATGGAAAACCTTCAACTCAGTACTCTCAACAAGTGACTCCCAGTCTGTGGCTCTATGTGTTAGGGATCTTGCTATTCCCATCCCAAGATCTCTCAGAAGAGTTGAGAAGTAACAGCCCCATAATTGTGAGACAATAAAGATGCTGTCTTGCATGTTGGAAGGAAAAAGATGAGGCATCAGTAAAGGAGGGGGATACATGATTATATCCAGAACAATTAGATACATTTAGCTACAACAGAGGACTTACATAGAGAAGATGGCATATCAAGCCAAAAAGGTAGGCTGGAGAGAGATCACAGAAAATTTTGGAAGCCTTGATGAGATATTAGATTGTATCTTTAGTCAAGACAGAGCCACCAAGTGTTTTGGGGCTTTTATGAGCTAGAGTTTTAAAAAGGAGATTGAGAACATCAATTAGGAACTCCTGAGACAAGTCCACTTAACCTGGTATCACTCGAAGGGCTGTGAAGATGGAGCAGAACATGAGAGTTGAATCACCACCCACTCCCCACCCAAACACCTTCAGTAAACTTCTGGAGCTCCGCCCAAGGGAAGAGTCTTCCAGGTGCTCACAGTTGAGTAGAAGGGATAGAGGAGAAAGATCTCCCCGCTCCCGCCATGCTCCTGTCTTTCCTGCCTCCAACCAACTTGTGGCTTGAGCCGCAAGGCTCAGTCTCATAATTTATTATTAATCTACCTGTAGGAAGTCATTAGCTCACTCATGTTGCTACAAAGAAAAAGAAAAATTCTTCGTGATTGATGATGAGGATAATACATGTTCTCTAGGTGGGATAATTCACAGACTTTAGGTGTCTATTTAATTTAAAGCCTGGCCACAGTGCCAGCTCCCCACAGGTTCCTCCATCCTGCCTCACCCTTGCTCTACCCCCTGGGGAAATCCCCCTGGGTTCCTCAACAGCAACTTGAGAATCTCCTCTTTTAAACCTTTAATCATCCTCTTGCAAGAGAAAATTCCTGATCTTGTTATCTTGCCTCTAGTCATCCCTCTCTCTTCTCTTGCCATATCCTGGCCTCCAGCTAGCATTGTAGCATAATGTTTTGGGGCCTCAGCTTCCTGGTATTATTGGACATTTGACCTTACACGCATTTATCTATTTGAAAATTCTTTGTAACCTCTGTTCTGTCCTGTTATTTACTGCTTCTATTTTGACTAGTTCAAACATATGAATCTCTCTTAACTGTGTGCAGTGTTTTTCCCAATCTCTTTTAGTCTATCGGTCTCCATACTTTATCATGAATTCCATCAGTAAAATATATATATATGAACATGCAACCCACCAGCTATGAATTGAATATTTGTGTCCTCCCAAAATTCATACACTGAAACCTTAACCCTCAATGTGATAACATTTAGAGATAACGCTTTCAGGAGGTAATTAGTTCATAAGGGTGAAGCCCTCATGAATGGGATTAGTGTCCTTATAAGAAGAAACACAAGAAAGATAAATCTCTCTGCCACGTGAGGACACAAGAAGAAGGTATCTGTCTGCAACTCAGAAGAGGGCCCTCACCAGAACCCAACCATGCTGGCACCCTCAGTTTCAGGCTCCAGAACTGTGAGAAATAAATATCTGCTGCATAAACACCCAGTTTATGGTATTCTGTCACAGCAGCCTAGGCTGACTAAGATATTACCATATGCATATTTATTTTTAATTATATGCATGTACATTTTACTAATACGTCATATGCATCATAAAATACCCAAAAAAAGGGGATTAAAAGAAAAAGATAAAAATAAATGGAAACTGAAATTGCTACAGGCCTAGTGGATCATCTTGCACAAGCTCTGGGATGCAGACATCCCAATCTGGAGATTCCCATCCTCAGCAGCAGCATCTGGGATCCACCTCCTGGGTGAGCAGACAGGAAGAGTAGGATCATCAAAATTAAGAAGTGTAGGACATTTCCTTTGTTTTCCATCTATCTTCTGTTGGCCAAAACCTAAAAGCATTTTCACATCAGACAATTCCTATTCATTCGACATGAGCACATGAAGTTATGGATGTGACATACAGTGGCACCAAACTCCTATGTGTCTTTAGCCTTCTGTGAGATCAGGCTGGAAAAACTCCCTGAGTGGAATCAGTCTTAAGCAGAGCACAAAGGAAGAAAATGACGGAGATTGGCAGAGAAAGGAAAGAAGGAAGTATTGGGTGGGCCCAAGAAGCACATGAAGAAGAAAAGGACTTGGGGGAAGAGGGGAAGAAGATTTATTGGGCTGAAGTGGAGAGACGAGGCCAAGAGAACAGGTGTGGAGCAGAAGGGCAGGCGATGTCAAGTGGATGGTGCTGGACAACCTATGTCACTATAAAAAAATAAGCTTCAAGGTGGGGTGCGGTGGCTCACACCTGTAATCCCACAGGTGGGTGGATCACTTGAGGTGAGGAGATTTGAGACCAGCCTGGCCAACACGGTGAAACCCCATCTCTACTAAAAATACAAAAATTAGCCAGGCATGGTGGCACACGCCTGTAGTCCCAGCTACTCGGGAGGCTGAGGCAGGAGAATTGCTTGAACACGGGAGGTGGAGGCTGCAGTGAACCGAGATCACGCCACTGCACTCCAGCCTGGGCAACAGAGCAAGACTCCATCTTAAAATTAAAATAAAATATATAAAAAATAAGCTTCAGTTTGCCCACAGAGACAACTGACGACAGCTACAGTTCTCTATAAAGGGCATACAGACCAAAATGATGCTTGGCAAATATTAGGGTTGCTTACCTATAGATTCTTGGGGCCCCATGAGGAAATGAGGCCACCAGCAAAAGTCAAGGTGATTGACGGCTAGGACTAGAGACTCACAGCAGTGGAGGGGATGGTAAGAACACAGACAGCAAGATGGAAAAGGGATTCTGAGGCATGGACAGAGGGGGAGAGAAAGAAGAAACTGGAAAGAGAAAGACAGTACCCAAACCTTATACATTCCTACCAGGATCATTCATCCCAGGACTGGTTACTGACACAGATAACTCAGGAGCAGAACCACCCTATGGCCAGCACCTTCCAAAGCCCTGTGAGCCAGCAGCACGTGGGCACTGGAGCTGAGGCCATGTCTTCAGGCCCTTTTTCAGTTTGGGGCTCCTCAGCACCAGGACGGTAGAGTGCAGACAGATGTTGGCATAGATTAGCACTTACCAGGCCCAGTGCCAGTGATTCTGAAAGTTTATGATTTTCAAAGCAGAAGCAAACAAGGACAGGAAGTACAATGTACAGAAGATGAGGGAAAAGGTGAGTGACTTTAAAGCCATAGTGTAAGCCTGGGTGCTGGGATCACAGGGGCCGGGCCTGAGGTCCCTCATCTACCCCAACTGCCAGCACAGTGAGACTATGAGCAAGACAGTGGACACTAGGAACAGGAGGAACAGAATCGACCACACAAACCCTTCATAAAGGAAAAAGTAGAGCTGAAATGAAGCCTGCACTCTATAAACTAGAGTTTCGTTTCTGTAGGAACTCAGGGAGACCTTCCTCTGACCAAACAGGATGTTCCCAGTGGCTGATGAGATGACTTCCAGGCCACAGATGATCAGGGAGCCCTTGATCAGCTTGGGCACTAACCGAGAGTTCCTCCACTTCAGCCAGGCGAAGGTGGGGTGGGAGAAAGATGAGATCTTCACACAGTAGAAAGCAGCAAGCAAGGCAGTAAACCACAAAGTGAGGGCATTGAAAAGGTCCCAGAAGATGTTCATATAGGGAACTGCACGCGAAAAATCTAAGGAGGCCAGGAGGTTGTTCACCATGGCTACCCCATGCAGGCAGAAACGGGAGGCAGCGAGACAGGCCACAATCATGTCACTTGTGGACAGCATCCGGCACCTTACCCACTCCCTGCCCAGCATTGTGACCAAGAATCCATTCTGCAGCATTGCAGCCAATGACTCCAGGCAAAAGATGGCTATGAAGATCAACGTGGGCAAGGAGGGCATCTTCTCCAGGGAGGTTCTGCTAAGTCTCAGCTCCTACTGCAGAGGGCTGGGACACATCTTCAGGGAAAAACAGCCTCTCTGGCTGAGTCAAGCCACCTTGTTGACACCAGAGACTCAGAAGCCCTTGTCCCTGGATTCATAGAAAATCCCAGCCACCAGCAAACACCCCCAGTCCCCAGAATTTGAAAAGATAATTTCTGCAATCTCCTTTGGCATGCAAATCACTCCCAGCTCAATGACACCATCTCTATTTGCATAACCTGTATTTGCCTGTCCTTTCTCAGAGCCAGATGCAGAGAAACATTAACAGAATAGAGGCTGCTGGGGTGACTGAAAATACCCACATTTTGTACATGATGTCTTAACTGTACTATTTCTTTCCTAACTCTTCTTTAAAAGACATTGTTACTCTTATTGCCCTCCCCAAACCAAAAACCTTCCCTTCACGTCCTGCCTTAATATTTTATTCAGTAGCCTCTATACACTGCCTTAGCTCACTTCCCGAATGGGTGGAACAGAAAAATCATTCGCATGCACAAGGCTTCACATTACCAAGAAAAGGCCCCCTAACCACTGGCCTCTCATGCTGCCTAAAATTTCACTGTCAAGCTCCATATTGGAGTTCATGGAATCTCCAGTTAAAATGTGGATTTCTCTGATATGTTACCATCATCTGTTAACTGTTATCCCCTTGGCTCCAGAGTGCTTGATCAACCAAAAGTAATCAGTTCCTAAGAAGCCTCTGAGGAAATGAGAGAGAGTAGATAAATCATAATGAGAAGACGAGAAAGACAGAGAAGGGAAACTGACCCAGAGGGGACATCACCATAGGAGCTGGGGGAAGCAAGAGTTGGTGGAATGACAAGAGGAGCTCAGGGCAAAGCTGGGCCACAGGGAAGTTTTGCTTTATGTGGAGTGAGCCCTGTCCTATAACAATACTGAATATATAATAGTAAAAACCACCCTGCTGAAACACCTTGTCTTTTTTTTTTTTTTTTTTTTTGACAGTCTCACTCTGTCGCCAGGCTGGAGTGCGGTGATGTGATCTCGGCTCACTGCAACCTCTGCCTCCCGGGTTCAAGCAACTCTCCTGCCTCAGCCTCCCAAGTAGCTGGGACTACAGGCATGTGCCACCATGCCCCGCTAATTTTTGGATTTTTAGTAGAGAAGGGGTTTCATCATGTTGGCCAGGATGATCTTGATCTCTTGACCTTGTGATCTGCCCGCCTTGGCCTCCCAAAGTGCTTGGATTACAGGTGTGAGCCACTGCATAGGGCCCCACCTTGTCATTTTTAAAGTGATTTCACACATCTTACATTTGGCCTTTACCGCCAACCACACAAAATGACACTGGTTCAGATCAGCCAACCCAGGCTCAGGGAGCCATGAGGACAGGTTCAACTGAGGAAAGAATGCCTATGAATGTGGAAAAAGTAAAAACAAAAGGGTTAAGAGGGAAGAGAGAGAAGGAGGGTAGAAGAAAGCAGAGGTGTGGATAGAAAAACAGGGAAGGGAATCCCCTGGCAAATGTCTCAGATCTTGGAGTCAGGGCTCTCCACCAAGATGAGTCACAGAAAATAGCCTTGCCTACTTCCCATGGTCTCACTCAAGATTCTACAGGTGAGAGAGGCCTGTGTGTGAAAGATTAAAGAGAAATAAAAACAAGGACAAACACTTGTGGTGGCGACTTCAAGAAAAAGAGGTTCAGCTCTCGAATATAGCAATTGCTTGAAGAGCTGCTTGTTTGTTTGTTTGTTTGTTTGTTTTGAGACGGAGTCTCGCTCTGTCGCCCAGGCTGGAGTGCAGTGGTTTGATCTTGGCTCACTGCAAGCTCCACCTCCCGGGTTCACGCCATTCTCCTGCCTCAGCCTCCGGAGTAGCTGGGACTACAGGCGCCCGCCACCACGCCCGGCTAATTGAAGAGCTGCTAGTTTTTATTGAACTCTCAAAAGATTGTTAGAGAGCGGATAATTCAACCTGATCAACTGTTTTGTAACACAGCTTCAGCGTCTTTCTTTAATTCTTTGCATGTCTTCCTCTGGCTTCTTGAAGACAACAGCAATGAGTGGCTTCTGCATGCTCCACAGCATTTTGGCTCGTCTCAAAATCCTTTGGCCGGAGCCCAGATTCATGATGTCATCAAGAAGCGAGCTGAGGCCATGGTACACACGCCCTGTTGCGGTCACGTGTAACCAAGTAGACATCTAATGTTTGCGGGCAAACTTCATGTTCTCTGCAGAGGTGCCAAAGCGTGCACTTTGCCAGAACAAGTCTTCCCCAGGACTTTTCCTTTCTACAGTTGATAGCTCTAGAAAGTAAACATTTTCTCCTGTTTCAATACTCTTCTATAAGAAGGCTGAAAGAGTACCTTTCCCGCAGGCACCTGTTTATCCATCTCTCAGTGCTTCACTAGATATATCTTATGGGGGTCCCATGTCCCATTCATAGTCTGCCACCAAAAGATACCATAAGCAAGATGATGTTTTAGGTTTTTTCTGTTTTTCAAGAGTCCTTCGAATGTGAAATAGCAATCAAAATACAAGGTGTTTCTCACAAAAGTTTGGGTCACATTTCTCTTTTTTAAAGGTGTCTCATTCCTGCAGCTGAAGCTAACGAATTATTTTCTGCAGCATGACTGGAGATAGTTTTTTAGGATGAAGTCTGAGTCTTCTGTGAAATGGTAGTAATGGTAAACAGGTAACAGCAGAAGACTGGATTAAAATGGAAGATTCTGCAAAGAGCTACTGGCACTTCCCTCACGTTAGTCCTCTACACCAGTAAAGTGCTTTTTGGTTTCTGTTGATTCGTTTGTTTTTTGTTTTTATTTTCTTTTTCTTATCACATTCAAGAATACATTCTTGAATTCTTAGAGAATGAATTCTTGGTTCATCTTAGAGACATACAAAAATACATTTCATTTGACAGGTTTCTCAATCTTGGTGCCCATTCCCAACTGAACCTTTGAGTGACGTGCATTGCATAAATACTTCCACGTATTTCCATGGCTTTATCGGGTAACTGATGGCCCACTCCAGGGAAAGGTGGAGGAAAAAGGAAATAACAATGTTTTTAATGGCTAGACTGCACATAAATGTTAAGCTAAACTATGCACAAATTTAATAATGATTTCCCTGCAAGATAAGCCCTAAATATTTTTTCTCACCCTGAAGACTTCCTCTGACTCTTATATTTAAGTAAGTAATTTAGAATAAACATTGGCTGTAATAGCAATCCGGCATAATAGAGAATTTTAGCTTTCTGAAAGTAAATTTGGGAATTTCTAACATCTTCCATTATCAAAATGTGAATGTACAGTTGAATATCGTTTAATATTCAGGTAAATCTACAGACTTTCCTCTCAAATAAAAAATAGCATTTGATAGTTATTTTTGTAATTATAAAGTTAGCCTGCAAGGAAGTTGAGTCCAATTCTATTTCAACTAAAAGATCTTTAGAATGAATCTTTCTCTTTGCCTTGCTCCATTCGAGCATTTAGAAGCAATAAAATTAATCTCTAAAGGAATAAATCAAACGTTCTTCCCATAATGCCATGAACTTCACTCAATGTCTAACATCTACTGGAGGGATAAGTTATGTTCGATAATTTCTAAATCAGTGGTTTACAAATTATGCTTTCCAGGGAGTTCTCATGGTAGGGAAAGGGTAAGAGGAGAACTGAGAAAGTAGAACCATAAACCCTCATTTCCTTTTCAAACACAGCAGTCCTGCTTATATGTATTTTATATACTGAGCTTCTACATACTATTTCAAAGAAAGAACTCCATTGCAAGAAACAAATTTTAAACCGCTACCATAGATAGATCCAAAGTCAACAAGAGGGGTAAGGACAGATTGCATCAACCCACCTTCTTTCCTTTGCTCCCCAAAACTCTTCTAAATTAACTGTGAAAGATTTTTGAGGCCAAGTGCAGTGGCTCACCCCTGTAATCCCAACACTTTGGGAGGGCAAGGCGGGCAGATCACAAGGTCAGGTGTTCAAGACCAGCCTGGCCAACATAGTGAAATCCCGTCTCTACTAAAAATACAAAAAAAAATCAGCTGGGCATGATGGCATGTGCCTGTAATCCTAGCTACTCGGGAGGCTGAGGCAGGAGAATTGCTTGAACCGGAACCCGGGAGGTGGAGGTTGCAGTGAGCCGAGATCACGCCACTGCATTCCAGCCTGGCCTACAGAGAGACTCCATCTCAAAAAAAAAAAAAAAAAAAAAAAAAAAAAAAAAAATTGAAATTAAGGCATAAATCCAAATAAAATAGATAGAAGAGTGATCAAAGATACAACAGCCCTAAGAAAACAGAATTCTATCCAAGCAGAAGGAAAAGTCAAGAATGAACCGACTTTTACCCAAGATTTGCCATACCAGGTTCCTCTAGAGAAAAACTAGTTAAAAGTCAGTTTAAGATTCAGATTCCCAAATCACTTTGTATACCTGGGCAACCACCACTCTCTCACCCTAGTATTGTCTGGAAAGGATAAAATGGGATCACTGAGCTGGATGTATCTATAGCACAGTTGAGACAAGGGTACTATACTGAGACAGGGACATTAGGTGAGCAAATGCTCTCCTCTCACATGGTTTTTAGAACTCCGGAACCCAGGCTTTTACCCTACAGGCAGATGAGTATCGTCTTTTCCAAGAACTCAAACATTCTAAAAGGAAGACATAAAGACAATATCAGATATTCCTCAAATAATTAGTCCAGCCAATCACTTTACAGTGAAGCCCATAATTAACAAGTCCCATTCATGAGTTCAGAGTTTCCAATCAGCCTTTCCATCTCTTTTGCACAGGAGCAGACAACGAGGAGCTTGGGACATCTGAGAATGGCACCTAGCATGGAAAATAAGACCAAAACAAAACAGGTATTTGGAGGAAGAAAACAATGCAAGGAGAAGAAAGCTTTGCCAAAATGATATCAGTATTCTCAGAGTTATGAGAATATAATAATAACATACAAAACAACAGGTTACTGTTTAAAAGAAATACTCAAAATTTTTTAAAAGAAAGTTCTTGGAATTAAAATGACAATATCTGAGATTAAATGTCAATAGAAGAGCTGAAAGCTAAAATTTATTAAATATCTCAGAAAAGAGAGCAAATAAACCCATAGGTTAAAAACAAAACAGAATGCCAATCTGGGATGTCTAATAACCAAGAAATAGGAGTTCTAAACAGAGAGATGTCATAAATGGTGGGAAAAAAATCAACAAAATAGATGCAAAGTTCCCAAAGCTAAAGGACGCGACTCTTCATATTAGAAAGACTCACCAAGTATCTGTCTCATTTCATACACTTTTAGAAAACTGAGCACAAAGAGAAGTTCCTACAAGCTTTTAGAGAGGAAAAGGAGAGGAAAAATACTAAATTCAAAATATAATATTAGGAATTTTATTTTAGACTTTTCCATAGTAATTTTGGAAGCTAGAAGGCAACAGAGCAATGTCTTCAATATACAGAAGGAAAATTATCTCTACCTTGGAATTCTCTATCTGGATACTCAAGTACAAGGACAAAATAAAGGCTTTTCAGGCAAGCAAAGTCTCCAAATAAAGTTAATTTTTTATGTTCTCTTTTTCTGGAGGATACTGGAAAATGTGTCCCTCCAAAGCGGGAGAGTAGGCATGATAAAGGAAGACATGAGTCCAGGCAACATGAGGTGAAAGGTGAGAGACAGGCGGAGGAGGCCACCAGGAGGACTGTAAAGGCAGACCCAGGATGGAGGGAGGTACATCAGGCCTGAGCATAAGTCCAGACTGGAGCAGGATATGAAGCCCCAGGAGAAATTTTCTCAGGCAAATAAAATTTGAGGATACTTGATGATGGAATTGAGAACAAAAAGCAAACAAAACAAGGTAATTGTTAAATCAATGGAAACAAAAATGTGTACAGGAAAGAAAAATTAATTGCAGTTTAATACATGGTTTCACCATGAATAGCATTTGCATTGGCATAATATTTTAAACACTAAATATTGATTTTACCATTACAATAAAACTATATTGAAAAGTGGGAGACAGAAGGTGTTTGCCAGGGGAATGAGGGTGAGGAAGAACTAAAGGTTCATATTCCATAGCGGAAAGCACACACACACACACACACATGCACATACACGTGCACATGCACACACACATACACACACACACACACACACACACACACACACCAGGTAAAAGAGTTGAAAGTAGTTGCCTTGGGAAACAGGAATTGGAAGAGGATGGAAACGAAAGCCTCTATTTTTAAAAAAACAAACAAAGAAATGTCCCTTTAAGCAGAAATACCTGGCTCTTTGGTCTAGATGCATATATCACTTTGACAAAATCTTAAGAAAAAATGAGAAAAGTCAAGAAGGAGAGGGGTACAAGTAAAAACAGTCAAATTGGCCCTCTTTGGTTTTCGTAAATCATGGTGCCTCCTAGAAGCAAAGATTCATTTTCCTCTCACAGTTAGGTACTTGACTGCTGTCCTCCGTAAACAGGAATTAAAGTGATCTAATATTACTCATAATTTTATTAAAATCTTCCAAGTATGTGTTCTTCATAATTACTTAGAGGAAGAAAGGGCAGAAGACAATATGAGTCATGTTTCTAAAATGGCTTAATCATCTTGCAAAAAAAATCCTAATCCAAGATTTCCATTTCTCAAATAATAATTTTTCTCCTGATTTTTTTTCTGTCCACCCCGTTCCATCTTATTTCCCCCTCCCATCCTCAGACAGCCCCCACCTGCCACTCAGCAGCCCAGTCCTTCCTTACTTAAGGCACCGGGGGTGAGGGGAGTATTGGTGGTGTTAGATTGTGAAACACTTCTTAGGACAAGGCCAGAATGCGGCAACCGACGTACTCACTCTTAGTGGTAGGACAGAACTGGGCATGGGAGGGTAAAATAAAGGGGTAAATGAAGAGGCATCTGCTATCCTACCGAAATAATGGGAAAACTCACCCGTTTCCTCTTAAACTCAATGGAGAAGGAGTTTTCAAAAGCATTCCCAATCTTTCAGCTCCTGACAACGCCCACAGAAATCCCTATCATTTTACTTGCCTGCACATGCAGAAATGAAGAATGTAGAAGAACTTCAGTATGGCTAAAGTGGTGGCATTTCCAGCTGGGTAAAACTAGGAAGGGATTTCAGAGTGGTTGCAGGAGGACTAGGGAGTGAATGTGGAACCAATAGGAAATGAGCACCAGGCTCCCAGGTAAGTTGGTTGATAGATTTGTTCATTTTTTTCCTCCATCAGATAATGGGAACAAAAGTAAGAAAAAAATGTATTTTAAAAAATCACAAGGCCAAGCACGGTGACTCAAGCCTGTAATCCCAGAAGTTTGGGAGGTGAGGCGGGTGGATCACCTGAGGTCAGGAGTTCGAGACCACCCTGGCCAACATGGTGAAACCCCGTCTCTACTAAAAATACAAAAAAAATTAGCCGGGTGTGGTGGCAGGCGCCTGTAATCCCAGCTACTTGGGAGGCTAAGGCAGGAGAATTGCTGGAACTCAGGAGGTGGAGGTTGCAGTGAGCAGAGATTGCACCATTGCACTCCAGCCTGAACAACAGAGCAAGGCTCTGTCTCCAAAAAAAAGGAAAAGAAAAGAAAAGAAAGAGGGAGGGAGGGAGGGAGGGAGGGAGGGAAGGAAGGAAGGAAGGAAGGAAGGAAGGAAGGAAGGAAGGAAGGAAGGAAGGAAGGAAAAAAAAAAAAAAAAAAAAAACCACAAGATATTAAGTAGTTCCAGAAGAGAGATACAACCTCAAATTAAACCAACATTAATTAAAAATCTAATATGAAGCTGACATTGTGCTAAACACATTCACATCCATCATTTTTTCCTGTAATCCTGTTTAAGGATGTCGTAAGCACTCCAGGTTTTGCTCTTTTTTATGAGATGCACTGTCTATGCCTCTGTTTTTCTCAGAAAAATGTAGTGAAGCTGCTGCCATTCTACATTTGCCCCGGATGGAACTCCGTGATACCACCTCGCTTCACGATATTTCACATTGCCTGATGGAACCCAAAGAAACCAGCTTTATTTCTGTGCCATTTCTCAGTGATTAAACTTCAAACTTCAAAACCAAGATTGCTGTTTTGAATAACTAACAAGTGTTTTCTCACCTTCCCTGTTTCTCCTTTTTCCCATAATATTTCATATTTATATCACCAGGTGACAATGAGTAAATACGCCCATGCAGGCAAATATTAAAAAGAATCAGAGGCCGGGCGCGGTGGCTCACGCCTGTAATCCCAGCACTTTGGGAGGCCGAGGCGGGCGGATCACGATGTCAGGAGATTGAAACCATCCTGGCTACCACGGTGAAACCTTGTCTCTACTGAAAATACAAAAAATTAGCCGGGTGCGGTGGCGGGCGCCTGTAGTCCCAGCTACTTGGGAGGCTGAGGCAGGAGAATGGCGCAAACCCAGGAGGCAGAGTTTGCAGTGAGCTGAGATGGCGCCACTGCACTCCACCCTGGGCGACAGAGTGAGATTCCGTCTCAAAAAAAATAAAAATAAAAAATAAAATAAAATAAATAAGTAAAAAGAATCAGAAAATAGGGTGACATTCCAAGGAAAGTTATAAAAATAAAATATTTATCATGACATTCTACCATTTTAAATTAATTTAGCATTGGTCTGTTACAAAGTGCATATAATTTAGATTCAGAAGAATTGGGCTTCAGTTATACTTTTGTCACTTTCTCAATATGTAACCTAGGATAAATCGCTCCCTCTTTTTCAAATTTGATGTGTACAAATGTAATATGAAGTACTTGGCAACGTCAGGAACATTTGATAAGGCAAGGTATATAAAGATATGTGTGTAGCCAGGCACGGTGGCTCATGTCTGCAATCCCAGCCCTTTGGGAGGCCGAGGCGGGTGGATCACCTGAGGTCAGGAGTTCAAGACCTGGCCAACGTGGTGAAACCCTATCTCTACTAAAAATACAAAAAGTAGCCAGGAACCGGGCGCGGTGGCTCATGCCTGTAATCCCAGCACTTTGGGAGGCTGAGGCGGGCGGATCACGAGGTCAGGAGATCGAGACCACGGTGAAACCCCGTCTCTAATAAAAATACAAAAAATTAGCCGGGCGCGGTGGCGGGCGCTTGTAGTCCCAGCTACTCGGGAGGCTGAGGTAGGAGAATGGCGTGAACCCGGCAGGCGGAGCTTGCAGTGAGCCAAGGTCGCGCCACTGCACTCCAGCCTGGGCGAGAGAGCGAGACTTCGTCTCAAAAAAAAAAGAAAAAGGTAGCCAGGCGTGGTGGCATGTGCTTGTAATCCCAGCTACTCGGGAGGCTGAGGCTGGAGAATCACTTGAACCCAGGAGGCGAAGGTTCCAGCGAGCCGAGATTGCGCCACTGCACTCCAGCCTGGATAACAGAGTGAGAATCCGCCTCAAAAAATAAATAAATAAATAAATAAATAAATAAATAAATAAATAAATAAATAATAAAAATAATAAAAAAAAAAAAGAGGGCCCGGGCGCGGTGGCTCACGCCTGTAATCCCAGCACTTTGGGAGGCCAAGGCTGGGGGATAACTTGAAGTCAGGAGGAGTTCGAGGCCAGCCTGGCCAACGTGGCAAAACGCTGACCTTACTAAAAATAAAAAAATAAAAATAAAAAATTAGCCAGGCATGGCGGTGTATGCCTCGAGTCCCAACTACTCGGGAGACTGAGAAGAATCGCTTGAACCCTTTAAGAAGAGGTTGCATGAGCTGAGATCGCGCCACTGCACTCCAGCCTAAGTGACAGAGCAAGATTCCATCTCAAATAAAAATAAAAATAATAAATAAAGAAGGAGGTATTTTTATTTCTTACTAACAAACATATCTCAAATCTCATAACAGCATCGTCTTAATATTTTGAATCCTGCAATGGGCATCAAAGACCTTAAACTAGATATCTTCAAAGTTCCTGCCAGCCTAAGATTCCAGGATTCTGACTTTCTCTCTCTTTCTCAGTACTTACCTCTTTCCTTTTCATCAGTCTCTCTGGGACGAAGTCCAACTTTACCATCTCTTCAAGAAATGCCTTCAAGCTACTGACAATTTTAAATTAAGATACCTTGCTAATCAATGAATCTAATAATAATAGCTTCTGCTTATTTTGTTCTTATTCTGAATCTGATCTTTGTCTAAGTGGTGGCATCCCCACCAAAGGGCTGTCTTACCAGAGATTAAACCTCACAATGTGTTTAGTTTACAAACAAGTCAGACTAGCTGAGGAGGGCCTTCTTGGAAGAGTAGGGTGAGCTCTTTGAAATCATGAGTGAAACACTGTTCTGAGAAGGCCCAGTAAGGGTTACCTCCCCTAAGGAAGGCTGGATTCCCATAGATAAAAGAAAGGTCATAGCTCTGGGTTTTCTGAGTGAACTGGAATTTGCTCCAACCCAGGTCTGGAGGTCACATAGAGAAGAGAAACAGAAAATGAAACAGCCATCCTCTGGAGAAGTCACACTTCATGCCCCCACCTAGTGAGAGCACCTAAGTTGAAACAATATTCTTCCCTGAGGAATTGTTGCAACATGCGCACAAAAAGGCTTAGAGAAAAGTGCTCCTTGTGAAAACATCTAGAGGGGGGAGAAAGCATAAGCATTATCATTAAATCATTGGTTCTTAATGTGAATAGTGCCCCCCTCTAAAAGGTACTTAGGAAATTTATGTGAGTGTTTTTGGTGGTCACCGTCTTCGGGATTACTATTGACATTTATTGGTTTCAGCCAGGATGGACCCCAAAAAATGAAGAATTTTCCCCCATCCAGCAAGGACTTTGGGTGTCCTGCCAGGCATTCATGTGGGCGAAAAACATCTGAGCCAAGAATTTAACTACACTATATATAAAGTAATTTTTGCACACTTTTAATATACAGTGACTTTTCTAAAAATGAAACCATCAAATAAATTGAAAGACTCTGGAATTTTGTTTAATTTGAATCTTTACCATGAGTTATTTATCATCTCAGAAAAATCATGAAGTTGATGGCAACATCACACACATTATTTAAATCAGTAACAAAACACACCTAAATCTGTCTGGATTTGGATCTGTCACATTCCCTTGTGTCTCCATATAGGGGCAAGCACCTGTCTATGTCATTATGTTATCTACTACAGTGTACCACATACCTATCAAATGTGAATGATTTATATATCAAAATGCAAATTATTTTTATTATAAATTGCTTTCCTTTATATTCTTATATTCAATTAGGACATCATATTGATTTTTAATCATTTTAGGTAAATTAATATAGTTTATGAATTTCAGTTCACCATATTATGGGGGTCATTCCCCCAATATTTTTGTAAAAGGAGGCATTGGTCCAGACACAGTATCTTTTTTTTTTTTTGAGATGGAGTCTTGCTTTGTCACCCAGGCTAGAGTGCAGTGGCACCGTCTCGGCTCACTGCAACCTCTGCCTCCCAGGTTCAAGCAATTCTCAAGCCTCCACCTCCTGAGTAGCTGGGACTACAGGTGCCCACCACCATGCCCGGCTATTTTTTGTATTTTTAGTAGAGATCGGGTTTCGCCATGTTGGCCAGGCTGGTCTCGAACTCCTGACCTCAAACCATCCACCCACCTCCGCCTCCCAAAGTGCTAGGATTACAGGTGTGAGCCACCACACCCAGCCCAGACACATTATGTTTAATTACATAAAATATGATATATTATACTGTGGAATACCCCGCCACAGTTACAAGGATTAGCTAAATCTAGATATGGAGAAAGCTCCAAGACAGCTGAGTGAAGAAAGTTGTTTCAGAAAAATGTATATAGCGTGTACAGCTGATATCAACTATATAAAAATCTATACATATAAAAACATGCTACGTGTAATTATAGAGAGAGAGAGAGAAAGAAAAAGCATGGGGGAAAGTCTGAAAGTTTAAAAATAAACTGATACCCAGGGGACTGAATCAGGAATGGTAGTCAAGGTGCATTTCTGCTTTATATGTAATGCTGGAATGTGTACAAAGAGAACATATGCAGGTATTCATTACATAATTGAAAAAAATACTGGTAAAACAGAAATGTTGAAAAGAATTGCCAGGAAAAAAAGCTGTGCCCAAGTGACAGGTGACAGCATGCTGGCAGTCCTCAGAGCCCTCGCTTGCTTTCGGCGCCTCCTCTGCCTGGGTTCCCACTTTGGTGGCACTTGAGCCCTTCGGCCCGCCGCTGCACTGTGGGAGCCCCCTTCTGGGCTGGCCAAGGCCAGAGCCGGCTCCCTTAGCTTGCAGGGAGGTGTGGAGGGAGAGGCGCGAGTGGGAACCGGGGCTGTGCGCAGCGCTTGCGGGCCAGCTGGAGTTCCGGGTGGGCGTGGGCTTGGCGGGCCCCGCACTCGGAGCGGCCGGCCGGCCCTGCCGGCCCCAGGCAGTGAGGGGCTTAGCACCCGCGCCAGCGGCTGCAGAGCGTGTACGGGGTCCCCCAGCAGTGCCAGCCCACCGGCGCTGTGCTCGATTTCTCGCCGGGCCTTAGCTGCCTTCCCGCGGGGCAGGCCTCGGGACTGCAGCCCACCATGCCTGAGCCTTCCCCCGCCTCCGTGGGTTCCTGTGCAGCCCAAGCCTCCCCGACGAATGCCGCCCCCTGCTCCAGGGTGCCCAGTCCCATCGACCGCCCAAGGGCTGAGGAGTGCGAGCGCATGGCGCGGAACTGGCAGGCAGCTCCACCTACAGCCCTGGTGCGGGATCCACTGGGTGAAGCCAGCTGGGCTCCTGAGTCTGGTGGGGACGTGGAGAGTCTTTATGTCTAGCTCAGGGATTGTAAACACACCAATCAGCACCCTGTGTCTAGCTCAGGGTTTGTGAGTGCACCAATGGACACTCTGTATCTAGCTGCTCTGGTGGGGCCTTGGAGAACGTTTATGTCTAGCTTAGGGATTGCAAACACACCAATCAGCACCCTGTGTCTAGCTCAGGGTTTGTGAGTGCACCAATCAACACTCTGTATCTAGCTGCTCTGGTGGGGCCTTGGAGAACCTTTATGTCTAGCTCAGGGATTGTAAATACACCAATCAACACTCTGTATCTAGCTGCTCTGGTGGGGCCTTGGAGAACTTTGTGTCTAGCTCAAGGATTGTAAACACACCAATCAGCACTCTGTATCTAGCTCAAGGTTTGTAAACACACCAATCAGCACCCTGTGTTTAGCTCAAGGTTTGTGAATGCACCAATCGACACTCTGTATCTAGCCGCTTTGGTGGGGCCTTGGAAAACCTTTGTGTGGATACTCTGTATCTAACTAATCTGATGGGGACGTGGAGAACCTTTATATCTAGCTCAGGGATTGTAAACGCACCAATCAGCACCCTGTCAAAACAGACCACTTGGCTCTACCAATCAGCAGAATGTGGGTGGGGCCAGATAAGAGAATAAAAGCAGGCTGCCGGAGCCAGCAGTGGCAACCCGCTGGGGTCCCCTTTCACAATGTGGGAGCTTTGTTCTTTCGCTTCTTGCAATAAATCTTGCTGCTGCTCACTCTTTGGGTCCACACTGCTTTTATGAGCTGTAACACTCACCGCGAAAGTCTGCAGCTTCATTCCTGAAGCCAACGAGACCACGAGCCCACTGGGAAGAACGAACAACTCCAGACGTGCTGCCTTAAGAGCTATAACACGCACCGCGAACGTCTGCAGCTTCACTCCTGAAACCCGCGAGACCACGAACCCACCAGAAAGAAGAAACTCTCAACACATCCGAACATCAGAAGGAACAAACTCCAGACGCGCTACCTTAAGAGCTGTAACACTCACCGTGAGGGTCCGCAGCTTCATTCTTGAAGTCAGGGAGACCAAGAACCCAACAATTCTGGACACACAAGCTTTCGTGGTTGTCACCCAGTATTCCTGGGTGACGGAAACACTTCCACTGCAGAGTAGCTTTCTATAGAAACAGGCTCTTGGCATAGTGTCCACCAGGAGATGCTGGTCTCAGCATCTCCTGGTTACTGGAGGGAGCTCACGGAGTTTGGCATTCTTGAGCCTCTCTGAGCTGAGCCCAGCCCACAGCACCCTGATGCCCCACAACCCTGGGCAGCCATATCAGACCCCTGCATCCTTCTGCACACTGCACTTTGACTTAAAACCCAGCCTAGTCCACGTGGCGCCCTCCACTGAGTATGACCTTGGGGAAAGAGAGTAGTCCAGTGCTGAGGTTAGCCAGGCCAGTGAGCAGCATGCATTGTCATCATTAGCCGTAAAGGAGGCATGAAGCTTCACCCAGCTTTTGGGTTTTAAGGCAATTACTTTGCAGCCGTCAAACTGGGCTCCCACCCTCTTCCAGACCTAGACTCTAATAAGCATTAGGAGACCCAGAGACATAACAGGATGGGGGTGGGAGTACCAGATGAGGGTTAGAGTGAACTCCTGGGTCTCCTGTCATCACTGTAAGGTGGAGGGCTTGATGCACTCTGAGGAAGAAGGAGGCACCTCATCCTATGTGACTACATCATAGCCATCTCGGGTATGGTCAGCAAAAAACACCCCCTTACAGAAGCTCATGGGGCTCATTGTCAATATCAAGTATAACAGAAAAATTAGAACTCACCTTTTGGTAAGGCAGCTACAGCAACAGACCAGCACATTTCTCAAGCCCAGTTTGGAGGAAGAGGTTTTATACATAAAAGATGAATTTGTACAGTCATTTCCCCAGGTCCCCCCAGCCTGGGGGACAAATGACACATTGCAATGGCACTAGGCCCTGTGCGCCCTGCCAGCTTGGTCTGTGGGTCTCCAGACCTAGCCCTCTCATGGGCATCCAGCCCCTGCACAGCTGTCCCGGACTCTGCTCCCACAGCAGCTCTGCTGCCTGCTGTTGCTGTCCATCTCCACCGCTGCTCAGCCTGCCCATGACCTGCCACCAGCCTCCTGCAGCTCCCAGCCATAGAGGAGAGGTCTTACCTCTAAGAACTGTGCTCTTTCCATCAGCTTTAGGTAGTCAAGTCTTTAAGGGATCACACAGATCTTTTTTTCCCCATAGATGACACACTTTCAATGGGTATCTCAGAAAGCAGACACCCTGAGAAAACTTCCTGGATGGCAAGACCTGTGTCCCATTTTTAGTTCACACATCTGCATTCTCTCCAACTCTGGATGCAAGTTCCCTGCCTTCCAGGCATCCAATGAGGCAACATTCTTTAATGCTTCTTTACTTTGTGCACCATCTAAACCCCAGAGTCTTCAGAACCTAGCCATTGCTACCAAAGCCTTTGCATAAATAAGATTCCTTGTGTCTACACAGAGTGATGAGAGTTAAATGCAGCAACTGAATGTGAGTTCTGGTGTCAGAACTTCTGGGTTTGAAGGTCACCTTGACTATTCCTAGCTGAATAACCTTGATTTCAGTTTATTTATCAGCAAAATGAGCAAACCACATGAGTTCTTATAAGACTGAATGGCAATGTATGTGAAGGGCTTGACACGGTGCTGGTTCATATAAGAACTGCAAAACAGCTATCAATGTTCTGTCCCAGAGGCGCCTAGAGAGGCATGCAGATAAAGGCCCTGTTCTAACTTTTCCACACAGCAATGTGCATCTTAAAGGCTGTATTATGCCTTATATATGGCTTCATTTTAGTATTGCCTTCTTATCTCTGAACTCTTCTTCAGAGTAAGAATTCTAAAATTATATTGGATCTGGCCAGGCTCAGTGGCTCATGCCTGTAATCCCACCACTTTGGGAGGCCAAAGCGGGTGGATCACCTGAGGTCGGGAGTTCGAGACCAGCCTGACCAACATGGAGAAACCCTGTCTCTACTAAAAATATAAAATTAGCCAGGTGTGGTGGTGCATGCCTGTAATCCCAGCTACTCAGGAGGCTGAGGCAGGAGAATCACTTGAACCCAGGAGGCAGAAGTTGTGGTGAGCCAAGATTGTGCCATTGCACTCCAGCCTGGGCAACAAGAGTGAAACTCCATCTCAAAAAAAAAAGAAAGAAAAAAAAATTATATTGGATCAATTGTGACTTTGTTTCTGAGAACTTCAAGTAAATAGCTGATATGGTTTGGCTGTGTCCCCACCCAAATCTCATCTTGAATTTCCACGTGTTGTGGGAGACACCCAGTGGGAGGTAATTGAATCATGGGGGCAGGTCTTTCCCATAGTGTTCTCATGATAGCAAATAAGTCTCACAAGATCTGATGGTATTATAAGGGGGAGTTTCCCTGCACAAGCTCTCTGTGCCTGCTGCCATCCATGTAAGATGTGACCTGCTCCTTCTTGCCTTTCACCTTCTGCCATGATTGTGAGGCCTCCCCAGCCACGTGGAATTGTAAGTCCAATAAACCTCTTTCTTTTGTAAATTACCCAGTCTTGGGTATGTCTTTATCAGCAGCGTGAAAAGAGACTAATACAATAGCATTCACAAAATTTTAGATCTTAATGCTAAAGGGCACTTGGGAGATTATGTAGTCCTGCCCTTGACTTTAGATAAGATCTTATTATCCCCACTCAAAGCCAAACGAAATCAACAGAATTGCCTAAGATTGCATGGCTAGTAAAAGCTGAGGGATCAAAGCCAAAAGGCTTTGATTTACCCAAGAAAATCGGGACATTTTGTCATTTCCATTGCATGTGAGTGTCCATGGTTCTTGGTGACAGACTCTTAACTCCTTAAGTGCCATGAGAGTTTCTTAAAGTAGTTATGTTTGTCCATTGCTGTCCTCACCAGCCACTTACAATTAGGTGCTTCATAAAGACTTGGTGATAAAGGTAACATTACGATAATAAGGGGCTATCTTTCTATTATCCTATTGTTTGTTTTATTTATGTATTTTAGTTCTGAAAGTTGCAAAAAGGCAGTGAGGGATGCATTTCAAGCTGAAAGAAGAGTGATGAAGAAAAACAGAACAAATCCTCATGAGGAAATAAAAGACCAGTAAATAACTGAGTAAAGAACTGAGTGAACTTCAGAGCACCTTCTGAACAAATACAACCTTTTGGCAGAAGGCCAGACCTTCAGGGAGGACGGCGGAAGGTGTCGGTGCTGCTGGAGAGAACTGGAGAGCAAAGGCACCATCAGAAAGTGACTTTTATTTTTAATCCCGCTAGACTATTAGGAGATACAAAGTGAAATTCATGTCACAGAGCAGAAACATAGAGCAAAATAGGAGGATTTAGAAGAGCAGACAGCAGGAAGAGAACATATCAAACAGAGGAAAGGAAAGAAAAATATCAGGACTTAACTAAAATTTTCATTCATTTTGTTCTACCAGGTGACAAGCAGCAGAGGAAAACAAAAAGACTGCCTTAGTCATGGGTAACTGTCCTTAGTCTTTGGTATCCCATCCTTCCAAGAAAATCAAGACTCTAAATCCAAAAGCACCACATGATGATATCGTTTTTACAGAAGGCATTGCTGGGGGACAGAGATGGAGGATGCATTCCATCCCACAGCCCACTGCAAATCTTCATAAATGCCCCTTCCGTATCTTGGCCGTTTTTAACCAATGCTGTCCTCCCGAGCATCTGAATGACTCTGCCTGCTTCCTGACCTTTTCTCAACAATCCTCATCCAGGCTTTTCTGGTTCCCTGCCTGTCAGTCTCCATTGCCAACCCCATCACTCAAAGTCTCCCATCGGCCAAACAAAATCCTAATTCGTCACCATTGTCTCTAAAGCATTTTCCCAGAGGTCAGAAATTTATTTCCAGCACCCCTACTTTCACACTGAGGTAAGGTTTTTTTGAACCAAAAATATAACTACCAATCTGAATATGGTTATTGGTTAATTTCCCTCACCTCTATATCTAAGCAGCCAACATACCCTGTCATACTACAAGTGAAATGTCACTCATCGCCTCCCTCTATCCACTCATTGCCCAAGTTTGAGCTCTTACTGTTTCTTCCCTGGATCATTATCTCTCTGATTCCAGTCGCTGCCTCTTCCAGCTCTTCCCCCATTCAGCCACCAGAGCCCAAAATGCTCCTCTGAGCACGTGTCTCCCATATTCAAAATTTTACTGGTTCCAGGTTAGATAGGGAAGAAAGTTCAAAAAAAAAAAAAAAGAAAGAAAGAAAGTTCAGTGTAGTTGGTCACCGAGGCTGACTCCAGCCTTAGCCCATCTCCCAGTTCCCCCTCTTTAGCCCAACTCAGCCAGTCACACCACCCTGCACGCCATTCCTTGGACAAAAGCCATTTTCCCATTTCGTACAGGCATCGAGCTGCTGATGCTTGTGTGGGCCTGAAACATTTGTCACACAGCTGACTCTCCCCAGCCCCTGCACAGTCCTGGAAACCCCGCTTCAAGCCCTCTCATCTCTTATTTAGACCAAGACAACAGCCTCCTAACCTACCCATGCTTCTGCCCTCAGCCCTCCCCTGCCTTGCCCCATCTGTGTTCTGCACGCTGGGCAGGTTGATCTCTTCAAAGGTAAGTCAGAGAATATGCATCTCCTTTCACTGGACTCCCTCTAATGGCTTCCATCTCACTCAAAGTCAAAGCAAAAATCTGTGAAATAGCCTGGGAGGCCTTAGGTGTGCTGCTCCCCATCCAACCCCTATGACCATCTCCCTCCTAAAGCTCTGGCCTCCCTGTCCTTCCATGAACCCCATGCATGCCTGCCCTGGACTTTAGGGCTGTTTCCTTGGTCTGGATTGCTCTTCCCTCTGATGACTTTTGTAGCGCATTCTTTTCCTCCTTCAATTCTTTGCTCAAAAGTTACCATATCTGTATAATAGAGCCCTCCTTATGTGATTCCTATTCCCCTAACCCTGTTTTAATTTTTCTCCCAGTGTGTCTCACCATCTGAAGAATGCATTTTGTTATTTTTTTATGTACTGTCTGGCTCCTCCCCCTAGAATGTACACTCAGGGAGGGTGGGGTTTGGGTTTTTTTTTTTTTTTTCTATTTTGTTGTTTGCTGGTATATCCCCAGCACTTAGAACAGTGCCTGACTCATAATAAGATCTCAATAAATTTTTGTTGAATGAATGAATAAAAACTGCCTATTGAAGTCATTCTACTAGGCTCAACACAAAGGCCACCTTTTCCCATACAGTTCCTGTCAAAATTAGCCTCCTGTATTCCCTTGGCCACTTGCTTCTGCCTCCACCTTAGGGCTTACCTCTTTCACATGGTGCATCCCCCTCCCACAGAGGTGCTCCTGGAAGGTAAATGAGTCCATTTGCATGTGAAGAAGCTCAGTCTCAGAGAGGTTAAGAGAAATGTCCAAGGCCTTACACATAGGAGGCAGAGAGCTAGGAGTCTACAGAATCCAAAGGCCACTAAATACCCATTCCATTAACTCCTAGTGCTTCTCAAAAACAAACAAGAACTTTCTAAGCAAACACTCAGTACGGTGGGTATCAGGTTTTAATTTTGGTCTAATATTTAGTACTTCCCCAGAACTGTTGAAACAAAGAAGAAAGGAAGGAAGAAAGGAAGAGAGGGAGGGAGGGGAAAAGCTTCAGTCACTTCTTAATTGAGGCTCTGTTCAGACAACACAGCAGCTTCAGTGTAAGAAGACTTAATCAGAGCCAGGTGCGGTGGCTCACACCTGTAATCCCAGCACTTTGGGAGGCCGAGGCGGGCGGATCACCTGAGGTCGGCAGTTCATAGACCAGCCTGACCAGACCAGCCTGACCAACATAGAGAAACCCTGTCTCTACTAAAAATACAAAAAGGTAGCCAGGCATGGTGGCACATGCCTGTAATCCCAGCTACTTGGGAGGCTGAGGCAGGAGAATTGCTTGAACCTGGGAGGCGGAGGTTTCGGTGAGCCGAGACGGTGCCATTGCACTTCAGCCTGGGCAACAAGAGTGAAACTCCGTCTCAAAAAAAAAAAAAAAAAAGGATTGCTTAAAGCCAGGAGTTCAAGACCAGTCTGCCAACATAGTGAGAGCTCATCTCTTCAGAAAAAAAAAAGTTAGAGTGTAAGCATCTCTCTCTAGCTTACAACCTAACAGACACACTACAAACAGTGGGCACCATTTTTTTCCCAGCCAGCGCCTCCTAGGTGACTTGGTTTCTGGTTTTTTCATATGTATCCAAAGCAGAAAGCCCAAAAGTGAGGCAACATGGTGGCACACCCCACCCTCCCTTCCTCACCTGGTCAAAAGTCTATCATTACTGTGATGACTAGGTCAAGTTAAGAAAGCTACTTCCTAGCCTAAGGGCCTACCATCTTTATAATAGTAGGAATATATAAAAATCGCTGTCACTTTCATATCATGTTGATAAATATTCCCATGGTATTCTAAGATTTTATAAACAGAAATTATCTGTGGCTCTCACACCCAGAATTTGAAGATATAGGTGCAATTACCAAATTTTCCCACTAGGTGGCTCTCATAGTTTATGACCCATGGCCTGGATCGCCTAAACTCAGGGATAGATTTGGAAATGTGTACATTAATTTCTTAACAGAGGTGGTTGTTATCTATATGTTCAAATGTGTCTGTGTCTGGGTAAGTAGATTTATAATACTTTCAAACTAGAACTTGTTAGAAAAAGATATAAATTACCCTATTACGATCCCTTTATAAATAACTTCTTCAAAGCAAAATGTAAAAGAAATCCAATCTGTGCCCAATTAAGAGGTCCCATACTTATCAAATACTTCTTTTACAAGACAACAATATAATATTACCTCCTGACAACAGAACCAGTAACTTCAAATAGTAAGCATGGGTTATGCCGATCTTCTTCCCAACCCTCTGTAGAAGTTACAAGAACTCCTAGCCTAGCTAGAAATAAAACTGAATGTTTTTCAAATAAATTATGCTTGCTTAATGCAGAAGACAGAGCTGATAGTTTATTTCAGCCCTCTCTTCTCGCAGGCTAGCTAAATTAAAATGGACTTCAAGACATGGCTGATTTATCACTTTCTCTTTCCCTCCTGAGCTCCAACCAGTACACTTTTTGACAAGGACCAAGCTATCGCTGTGCTCCCGGGGGATTCCAGTATTTAACACTTGTCTCAACCTGTTCTTATTAAATTTCTGTCATGCCCCAGTTCACTGAGACACATTTGTTCTCTTCCTTTCCCTCCCTCACTTCTACCAGCCCAAGCATTAAGGCAGCGTATTAACTTCTCAGGTTAGCAACACTATCTTCTCAGGCAGTCAAGCAAACAAGTTCAGGTGGAAACACAATGATTTCTCATGAGACGCGCACAAATATCATCGTAAGATATTTGAGTCACAGCCACTTCACATGACTAACCCCTCCACATTTTCATTTCATGACTCAAGAAATCAAATGAAATATTAGAACAATTGGGAATGGTTTTATTTGTACTTTGGTATGAGATATGTGCGGAATGGGGGTAAGGAAGGTATTGAGATAAAGGCTTGTATCTGAATACACACTTGGATATAATGCACAACCCTGTGTGAATTCCCGTTTGACTCCCTTTTTCTCTCCCAACAGCTCCAGAAACGAGCCCATCTCACTCCCTGTGGCTGCTACCATCCACCCTTCAACTTCAGCTTCCCCTTCCACGTGTCCCATCACTAGAATGCAATGCAGGTTCACAGCTTGTCAACTACCTTCTTGTCTCTAAAACAAAGAGAATGATTTAGAGGATGTTAATACTGCAGAGATACATTTAAAAAAAATCAGCACAGGGAGAATTGCCATATGTCCTGAAAATGTTAGAGTGGTATTTATTTTATTTTCATATTGCATCATAATGTAAATGGGTCGAAAGTGATCTCTCTTAGCATCTTTTTTTTTTTTTTTTGAGATGGAGTTTTGCTCGTTGCCCAGGCTGGAGTGCAGTGGCACAATCTCAGCTCACTGCAACCTCCGCCTCCTGGGTTCAAGCAATTCTCCTGCCTCAGCCTCCTGAGTAGCTGGGATTATAGGCGCCCGCCACCACACCCGGCTCTCTTACCTTTTTCTTTAGTTTTCTCTTGCCTCTTCTTGAGATTGAAGCTTCATCCAAACATCCCTTTTAATCCAGAGGCTGGTGCTACTTTCAGCAGACTTTATCCTTAATTCCCTCAAACCCATCTTGCAAATAAACCTGTACAGGAGGACACAAAAATAAAAAACATGTATCCTTAAATTGCATGGTGCCACCAGAAGCTTTTGCTTGTACACTTTCTCATATTTGTACTTTTCTCATATACTATGACCAACAACATTATCATCATTTCCCCCATTTTGCAGATGAGGAAGCGGAGTCTCAAAACAGCTAGGTGATTTGCCCAAGATCACTTGGCTATGAAGTGACAATATTAAAATCTTCTAAAATATAACTTTGCTTTTGACACTTCAGAGAAAACTTCCAACCGCCTCTATCTCAAAACAGTTCTATTTCTAGCAAGAAGACAGATTCCTAAACAGTATCGGGTGTCTTCCTCTTAGCAAACTGACTGGAAGAAGGGAGGACATGCAGGGTTTAAGGGGGAGGGTGTATAATTGGGACCTGTGGCACTGCTTACAGACCGCCTCTGCATACTTTTAATCAATTAAAAAGTTGTTAGGAGGCTGGGTGTCATGGCTCACTCCTGTAATTTCAGCACTTTGGGAGGCCAAGACGGGCAGATTACTTGAGATCAGGAGTTTGAGACCAGCCTGGCCAACATGGTGAAACCCCGTCTCTACTAAAAATACAAAAATTAGCCGGGCATGGTGGCAGGTACCTGTAATCCCAGCTACTCAGGAGGCTGAAGCAGGAGAATCGCTTGAACCTGGGAGGCAGAGGTTGCAGTGAGCCGAGATCATTCCACTGCACTTCAGCCTGGGCAACAGAGTGAGACTCCATCTCAAAAAAGAAAAAAAAAGAATCATTTGGGTTAGCAAAAGTCTAGTTTAAAAAAGGAAGTACGGCCGGGCGCAGTGGCTCATGCCTGTAATCCCAGCACTTTGGGAGGCCGAGGCGGGCAGATCACGAGGTCAGGAGATGGAGACCATCCTGGCTAACACGGTGAAACCCCGTCTCTACTAAAAATACAAAAAATTAGCCGGGCGTGGTGGTGGGCGCCTGTAGTCCCAGCTATTCGGGAGGCTGAGGCAGGAGAATGACGTAACCCGGGAGGCGGAGCTTGCAGTGAGCCGAGATTGCGCCAGTGCACTCCAGCCTGGGCGACAGAGCGAGACTCCACCTGAAAAAAAAAAAAAAAAAAAAAAAAAAAAAAAAAAAAAGGAAGTACGTTTTGTTTGGAAAGATTAAACCTCTCAGAGACACAGATAAGCCGGATAAACCATGAAAGTCGCTCAATGTAGCAATTCAAAGGTAGAACCTAAACCTGTTTAACCACAGGTCAAGAAGTTTTTAAAAATAAGGTGTTCTTTATACAGTGGGATACCATACAGCAATGAGACTGAATCCACACACAACCAAGGAATACATCTTCCAAACGTAACGGTAAATGAAAGAACTCGGACACCAAAGAATGCATATCAGATGATTCCGTTTCATAAAGTTTAAAAACAGGCAAATCCACTCCGTGGTGTTTTAAGTCAGGATATTACTCTCAGGTGGGGGGCGGGGTAGTAAAACAAAAGTGAGGTGTTTGCTAACATCTCTGCTTCTTGAAACCCTGAATAGAGGTTAGGCCACAGGACTGGGAGTCAGACAGAACTAGGTTTAAATCCTGGTTCTGCAGTTGAGTGACTTTGAACTACTTTAATTCCCGGTGTCTCAGATTTTTCCACCTATAAAATGAGACTAATGATACCTTCCTCCGAGGGTTGGTGTGAGAAGTCAATGAAACGATGTATGTGAAGTGCGGCAGCCTGCGTAGGTGCTGTAATAAGTGGTAACTATTATTATCCCCGCCCCTGTTGCCTGGTGGTAAATGGGGATCAGAGAACAGATAGGTAAGAACACAGACAAGAAGGAAAGGGAAGGACCTAACTAGGCTTATGATTAAAGACGTGCAGAATCCACCAGAAGGCTGTACTGGTAAGTGCCATTTCCTCCCTCCCACAGCCCACACGGTCTCCTGGATTTTGCTGCCTGCAAGTTTGGGCTGGCCCACAACAGCCAACCAAAGTCGTTTGGGTCCCATCCATGAGGGCCCTTGCTAGGGGACTTGATACTGTTACAGGAAAGGGGTCTGGATCAAGATCCCAAGAGAGGGTTCTTGGATCTCATGCAAGAAAGAATTCAGGGTGAGTCCATAGAGTAAAGTAAAAGCCAGTTGATTAGGAAAATAAAGGAATAAAGAATGGCTGCTCCATAAACAGAGCAGCCCTCAGGGTTGCTGGTTGCCCATTTTTATGGTTATTTATTGATTATATGCCAAACAAGGGGTAGATTATTCACGTCTCTCCTTTTTAGACCATATAGGGTAACTTCCTCACGTTGCCATGGCATTTGTAAATTGTCATCGGTGCTGGGGGGAGTGTAGCAGTGAAGACGACCCCAGGACCCTCTAGTGGCCATCTTGGTTTTGGTGGGTTTTGGCCAGCTTCTTTACCGCAAACTGTTTTATCAGCAAGGTTTTTATGACCTGTAACTTGTGCCTACCTCTTATCTCATCCTGTGACTTAGAATGCCTTAACTGTCTGGGAATGCAGCCCAGTAGATCTCAGCCTCATTTCACCCAGCCCCTACTCAAGATGGAGTTGCTCTGGTTCACATGCCTCTGACAATACTAGTCCAAAAAATTAGTTTGTACTAATTCTCTCATAGTAGTTGCTAGCAACATCCTGGGTTACCCTGCTGGTGATGTTGGTTGCATTTTGACCAGAGCCTATGGATATACAAGACCATGACCTAGGCTGGGTGTAATTTCACCTTATCCTCAGTCAGAAAGGAGCTGGGTAGGGAGTAGAAGGGGAATAATATGAACAGGGTAGTGTTAACGTCAAGTTTGTAAGAACAAGCCACAGCCTGGGCTGCAGGGACTCTGCAGGCTTTCCTTTCTGACTGCAGAATGAGAACAGGGCCAGACGCCAGAAGGGGAAAGAGGTGTCCCTCTGGGAGGCCCTGTCTGCTACGAGGCCTGTGGTTCCTAGGGGACCAAAAAAAAGGAGGAGTTTTGGGGTTTGATTTTGTAATTTTAAATGATGTCTTAGGGCATCTCTATAGGGAATACTGCCCAGCATCGAAAAAGAGAAACTGTTGATGGAGGCAACAAGAAAGATGGATCTTAGAAGGATGAGTCTTAGAAGGATGGATCTTGGGAGCATCATACTAAAGAGAAAGACCCAGAGTCCAGAGACGGCATAAAATTCTGGAAAGGATAAAACTCACCCAAATGGACAGAAACCCTAAGGCTGGAGGTGGGATTGATTCACAGGAGCACCAGTGAATGTTTTTAGATGCTGAAACTGCTCTGCATCTTGACTGAGGTGGTGGTGCATATACATTTGTGAGAGCCCATTGAACCGTACACTTGGAATGGCTGCAACTTATTTTATGCAAGTTGTCCCTCAGTAAAGTTGATTTTGGAATGGAAAAATAATGATGTCTTAGTAATTGAGGTTGTTCTGCTCTGGGAGCAAGCTGGGAGGCCTGCAGGAGAACTCCAGCAATTCCTAGCCTCCACCATTCTCCTAGCCAATTAACATTTGCTCAGTACCTTACAGTTCATAAAGCACTTTCTCCTCTTTTGATCATTACACTGACTCTGTGGGGTGGACGTGATTAATCTCATTTTATAGCTAAGGAAACTGAGGCACATTATGGCTAAGGGAACTGGCCAAAGTCTCCTGACTCAAAATCCTGCTAGCTTTTTATTTTCTGAGACCATCCCTGAATATAGCCTCAGAAATCATCTAGGTCTAGGGAAACTGAAACCATGGTCCAGAGAACATAAATAATTTGACAAAAGTTGTACTGCTAGTTAAGAACAGAGACTAAACTTGAAGATGTGCCTCCTCTCATGACAAACTAACCAGAAAATGTCAAATCAAGATAATCCTGAAAGGAGACAGAAAGTGGACATTCATTCCCCATATGCAGAGACTTTCAGACCAGGATAAAGAGCCTATCCTAAAACAAAAAGCAAGACTTTTTTTTCCAGGGTTCTAGACTCCATGTCTCACTGCATGGAGCAGTCTCCCCCACTCCACACACCCACCCCCCACCCCCCACCCTCTGGAGTCCCAAGGGTCTTGTAACTTTAACAAACTGCAGCAGCAAGCACATGCATTACCTCACCACAGTCTGGCTTATGTCCTAGCAGCAATTGTCCAACGCTTGCTCCATTTCCCCCCTTCTGTTGGCTTTGTACCCTTCGCCCATTCCTCCCTGCTGAAATCACAAAGCTCTGACCCCCGCCAGCCAGCGTGAGCCTCCTCCTCCTTCCTGGAGTCTTTAACATTAGAAAAGAGGCCTCTGGTGCAGAGCAATGTGTGTCAGATGGCCCCTCTGTATACACATTTTAAAAGCATGTAAGTGTGGGAGTAGAGGGAGAGAGGGAGGGAAAAATACACGATGGTGTGTACACAGCGAGGAAGCAATCCTGGGAGGACTTACAAGAAACAGTTGATGGTGGTTAACTTGGGGAACAGAAATTAGAGTGTTGGAGGGCAGAGGGTTCTACTTCCCATTTTGTTTCTGTATGTTCAACATGAATTTCCTAACCAATGTACATGAATTACATTTATTTATGCAAATAAGGATAGTCTGAGCCAAGAACTGATGGGCCGTGTTTGTCATATACGTATCTGCATAAGAAAGCAAAAAAAAAAAACAAAAAACCTGAGAAGCATTACATTTTGAAAATGAGAAAAAGCACCTATAATCCACCACCTCCCTTCATTCACAGTACCGAAATGTGCAACAATGTAAATGATAGAAAAATTATGAACAATTTACCCAGATGGGATGGAGCGAAAGAAGGAGGGGCCAGGAGTGGACCCCCAGCCTCTTTAGTAAATGCATCACTCCCCTTTGAGCTACTGTGATCCCTGTGTGTACCTTGCCTGGGGTCCACTCCTGCCCGCCATTTCAATCATTTGTGCAATTATTTATGTCTCAACCCCCAGCATCCCCAAATTAATAGCTTATATAGGGCAAGACATTGTCCTTCTGTTCTTAGGTGCTTCTAGAGCTTCCTGCATGCATAGCAGAAACTGAACAAACATTTACTAAATAGAATATAAGAAAGTCTCGGCAGAGCGCAGTAACTCAGGCCTGTAATTCCAGGACTTTGGGAGGCAGAGGCAGGGAGATCACTTGAGATCAGGAGGGATCACCTAAGGTCAGGAGTTCGACACCAGGCTGGCCAACATGGTGAAACCCCGTCTCTACTAAAAATAGAAAAATTAGCTGGGTGTGGTGGTGCACGCTTGACGCTTGTGATCCCAGTTACTCGGGAGGCTGAGGCAGGAGGATCGTTTGAACCAGGGAGGCGGAGGTTGCAGTGAGCCAAGATTGCACCACTGCACTGCAGCCTGGGCCACAGAGCGAGACTCCATCTCAAAAAAGAAAAAGAATATAAGGAAGTCCGCAAGAAAGTGAGAGGGCACGTGGTTTGACACCACTAAGATGGGTTAAAATATCCTTCCCTGCCACCTGTGGCTGGAACCTTAACCAGATATTCATGTCTGCTGTGTAAGTGCATGTCAAGGTTCAAACTCCTTTTCTTGTTTACCCAGCCCTGGCCCACACCTGCCTTTCTGCCCTGATTCCCAAGACAAATCCTGCGCCCCAGCAGTCAAACTGGTCCATTCACCACTCCCTGGGCGCACCTTGAGGCTCCCTGCCTTCAGGCCCTTGCTGGTGCCTTTCCCAATCTCTGCCACTGAAAACCCAGGTCACACCAGCTCTCCCTGAAGACTCAACTAATGTGCCCCGATGACTGGGCTTGCTTCCTCTTCTAATCTCCAGATGCTTCACTGCAGGTTGTACCCCACCTTGCATTGTGGTCATCTAAGCCTCCCCTGCTAGAGGGTGAAGATATGACTCTTACCCCTTGCCTTCCCCGGCCCTATTACCCAGCTCTGGGGCCTGCACAAAGACAGAAAGAGGAATATAGGAGTGTAATTCAAGTCAGAGGTAGAATTAGGTTAAAAGCTGGATCAAGATTGGGTTGAGTTTAGGATTAGAATTGGGAAAAGGTTCGTCAATTCTTAATCCCACCTACTAGGCGGCGCCCGCAGTCTCATTCGGGTCAAGACGCCTCCGGTTCTTGAATTTGATTACCAGTCTAGCAAGTTTCTTTCCTGCCCTACTGTCCCTTTAAGGAGGTGAACCAGGTGAGGCCGGGACTCCGCCCCCGGCGCTGGCCCCGCCCCCCGCCCCCGCCCGGCCCGCCCGGCTCTCCTAGTCCCTTGCAACCTGGCGCTGCCATCCGGGCCACTGTCCCAGGTCCCGGCCCGGAGCTATGGAGCGGCGCTGGCCCCTGGGGCTAGGGCTGGTGCTGCTGCTCTGCGCCCCGCTGCCCCCGGGGGCGCGCGCCAAGGAAGGTACCGACCCCCGCCCCCGCGCCCCCAACCCCCGCGCCCCGCCCCTTCCCGGGGCCCGGCCAGCACCCCCCTGCAGAAGCCGGCATTCCTAGGGGCCATGTTCCCCGAGACCCTCGCCAGCTCTCTCGCTGTGCCCGACCGCCAGGCTATCGACTGGCCAGGCCCATCTTTGGTCTTTAACCCCAAGCGGCTGCTCTCCCGGGTCAGTCACCCCCACTCCCGCAGGCCAGCAATCTGCTCCTGGGAGTGGGGAGGGAATTCCGGACCCTTGCCAGGAAGTAGCACCTGCACCCGCACCCCTGCCTGCATTCCCAGACAGTCCCAGCTTCAGGTGCCCACCCCAGAGATCTGAGCCCTTGGAAGTTGAAGGTGGGAAGTCGCCTCCTGCCAACCTAGGCCAGGGACAGAGGGAGCTGCCTCCGGGAGAAGGGTTAGGACTGACGCCACAGGGGTTCCCAGTTGTCCGAGTCGAATATTCCATGTGAAAGTTGGAACACCCTCTCCGGCCTTACTCCCCCCCACTTCCCAGGCAGGTAGCTGTGCCTCTTATCCCCACTTCACGGCTCTGATCACTGGCCAGGTCAGGCCAAAGCAGGCTTCGGACAGTGGAGGTGAGCCTCCCTACCCAGGAAACCCCTTCTGAGGTCCCCGGTCCACCCTGCCCACTCCTGGCTAGCAGAGGTGAGCTCCTCCTGCCCTCCACGCGTTCCAATCCTGCAGCTGATGGGTGTCCCAGGACGCAGCAGCCTGGGTAACTGAGCGTCTCGTGGGGCTGCTCTTCTTGCATTGACTTTGGTCAAAGACCCAGCGCCCCAACCCTTGTCCCACTCTACCTGCCTTCCTTCACACACACAAAGAAGAGTGAAATCCCTGGAGCTCTTCACTCCTCAGTCCTGAGCCCTTTTTCTCCCCTAAGCCTCAGGAAGTCACAGCTTTTAGGAACAGGATGTTGCAGCCTGGGGCTGAGGCCCCAGAATGATTAATGTGGGCTGCAGGGGCACCTCCTCCCCCAGAGGTGACAGACTTCTTTTCTCCCCACTTTCAGTTACTCTGATGGACACAAGCAAGGCACAGGGAGAGCTGGGCTGGCTGCTGGATCCCCCAAAAGATGGGGTAAGTGTCGGAAGAGGGAAGGATCTTGGAAAACTCCTGAAGGCCAGTGGGAAATGGGGTGGAGAGGTGGGTGGAGGAACAGAGAAAAGAGCAGGAAAAACTGGAAGTGTCTCCTCAGGGAGGGGGAGAGGAGGCTGAGTCAGAGCCTCCTCAATGGGACAAGGGGTGGGGGGGTCAGACTTCACCTCAAGATGAACGCTTGAATGGCCTGGCTCCTCCAGTGAATACTTGGGAATATTGTGAATACAAGCTGATACTTGTGAGGGGGAGAGGAGCTCACATACCCGGGGAGAGAATGCACCATGCTGGGGATGGTTGAAGGCTGAGACCAGTGCTTTGCTTGGGGAGGGATAGAAAAGGCAGAAAAGCATCCTCAATCTGAGATCCATTCATCCCAATGAAGTTGCATTGATAGGTTTCAGGGGGTGGGGAAACCCCATGAAAGTGTACTCTAAATTCTGTATATGTAAGCGGGCATTTTTTTTTCTGGAGAGACCAGCCAAAGCTTTCATCAAATTCTTCAAAGGGTCTTTGACTCCTCCGAAGTTAAAAGCTGCTCCCCTAAAGGTTTCTGAGCCCTTAGCTCATCCTCCACACCTCCTCAGGCTGACTGCGTGCACACCATGCATTCCAGCTGTTTGAAAGTGTCAGAGCTTGTTCCAGTTCCCTTCCTTCCTTGGATGTTCCTAAGACTCAGTGAACAGGTTGTGAGGTGGGTCTGAGAGAGCATATTCAGACTCAAATGCAGAGAGCAGCTCTTATGATGTACAAAAAACCAAACTCAGTTTTTTCCTACTGCACTCTCAACACAAATCACTTCGGTGACCTGTG